>NC_000012.12:117308612-117460128 GCF_000001405.40 Homo sapiens | reverse complement strand
GAAAACTCGCCGGATTTGCATTATTGAAAGGGTCCTGGGACAAGCATGCATTGGAAATGCTTAGGTAAAATGAAACTAATTTCTTGATTGCAGGACTTATCAGAACTTTTAAGACACTATTGTGTGGTTGAATCTCTAAATGCCTGATAGGAGGCTGTTCTTCCCAAGCTTTCCCAGGCTTGTTTCTGAATCTCCAACAAGGTCAACCTCTGTGAATGAGACTTGATACCTTACCTGGTACTGAAGGAGGCAATGTCAATGTACTGGCCCACAGAAAAGAGCTGACCACTAGCATTCATAGACACTGCTAGGAGATGAGAAAGGTAGCTTAGAGCCCGATTCCATCCATGTGGACAGTGGTTCCATGAACAAGAACACCACATCTGGCTGATGGTGTCTTCCAATGGAGGGGTCAAATCTGCTGTGTGTTGGTGGCTTCTCCAACATACCATGGCTTGGAGGCCAATGTGAAAAGTATATAAGATGTAACACCCTCAGAAGGGTTAAGTTTTCACCTGAGTTTTCATCTTCAACCAAGTCATTGGGATGGTGATCTAGAAGGACCTCTAAGATCTAGAAGGATAAAGATCTGGTCCAAGGAGTACAAATATGTAATGGATCTACCACCAGTGTCCCCTGCTGTACTCTTGGCAGACATCACTAATCCATCACAGCATGCCTTCCCACTGATCACAGATGTAGCTTCAGGGCATTCGAGTTACCACTTAAGATGGATATGAGTGACCCTCCCTTATCTCACTCTTCTCCTTTCACAGAAGCAGGATCTGAGGCCCAGAGAGGGAAGCTATAATAAACTCCCCTAAGTCAGGTCCCTTCTAAGAGGCAGAGGTAGGTTTAGAACTCAGGCCTCAGAAACTTCCAGAAGCCAAGCCATTTGGGCTGTAGTTGGTGGACAGTCTATCAGCGCTCTGCAGATGTTTCTTCTCAGTTAGGGAACTTGGAAAATGCAGAAAGAAAGATTCTGTCTCTAAGACTCTGTGTATGATCCTACTCGGTAATCTGCCTGCTTGGAGAAAAATCATTTATCTTCTGGGACGGCTTCACCACAAGGCCTGAATGCTATGCCCAGTCTAGTAACAGCTGGGCTGGAAGTCACGGCATATGGGGGCCTTAAGGAATAACAGTGTGCGTGGTGGTGTGCAGGAGAGCTGCAAGGGCTTTTCTTTCTTGAGGAGGTTTGTAAAATTTCTGCTGTTCAGTCTGGGCTTCTGGGAAGTCAGGGGGTGCTGCATATAAAGGGCAGGAAAAGGAGCCTGACTCCAATTGCTCTTTGGTTTCTTCCCTGAATGGAAGGCTCAAAATCAAGTTTCCACCCAGATAAGATCTTGAGGTCCTAGTGGACCACCAGCTCTACTCCTGAGCTCTTGAAATACCTCTAATCACCAGCTCGGTGGCTGAGAGTACCTTCTTGTCCACTGCCTCTTCTTTTCCTTCTCGTCTTCACTTATCCCCCATCCAACTTCTGCCCGATAATATCTCCCCTGTATTGTAAACTGAGGAGAAAGTTGCACAATTGTAGAGATGAAAAATAGCTGCCATGTATTTAGCTTAAATTAGCTCAGAAGAAAGGCTCCCTCCCTCCATTGAGCGGGCAGCACTTGTTTATGCCAACATGCTATTTGCATCGCGCCTTCTTAAATTTGAAAGTCTAATGATTAAAAACAAATCTTAGTTTTTCTTTTCCACCACTTAAAAAAAAAAAACCAGCTTGGCTAGTTCTTCTAGTTTAAAAATACCCTGACCTCCAGCACTACAGTGAGAATTTTGGAAAGGCTGGTACCAGGATATCAGGAGGAAATAAATACAGGCCAACAATAACCAGAGGCCTTTTCTGAGTGGTGGGCGACAGGATGAACAAGGTAGAAGAGAGGTCTTTGTGTCCTCACACAGATGCTGGCATTCTGGGTTTGTCTGGAATTCAGTGAACCTCTGTCCTCTCTGACAGAGATTTCTTCACCAACCATTCATTCAGTGGGTGATTTGTTGAGCATCTACTATGTGTTAGACCCTGGGCATTCAGTGATGAGTGATACAATGTCTCACCTGTTCTGAAGCCTAAAGCCCAATGGGGAAGAGAGACAAGAAGCAAGTCAACCACAAATATATAAATTTGCAACTCATGTAGATCTATGGAAAGAAAACTCACGGGGGACCAGAAACATGGGAGAGGGTATACTGTGGGAGAGCTGCTGACAAAGGTCTTTCTGAGGAGGTGACATTTAAGTCAAGATCTAAAGGAAGAGAAGGATAAAGAGATGTTCATTCTAAGCCAGGGTTTCTCAACCTCAGTACTGTTGAGCTATTTGGGGCCAGATAATTCTTTGAGGTGGCGACTGTCCTGGGCATTGGAGGATGTTAAGCAGCTTCCTCAACTCTCCCCACAAGATACCAGTAGCACCTGGTACTGGTGACATCCAAAAACATCCCCAGACACACCCTGACTTTGCTGTCTGGAATCAATCCTCATAAAGCCCCAAGCCTTGGAGCACAGAGGCTGGAAGCCCATATGGTGGCATGTCAGGCATGGTGTCACCTGAGCTTCTCTGACCCCCACTTCTGATATGGCATCCAGTTTGGAGTCTCTGTTCTCCATGAGCTCCCATAGCTGTCCCATATTCCACAAGGCATTGCTTCTGGGCCACGGTCCTCTAGTTCCAGCATAGCCCTATTTTTGGGTATGTTGGTGGATTTCAAAAGCCTCCAGTTGACATCCAAAGTGTGACATCCAAAACCATCTCCAGACATTGCCAGATGTCCCCTGAGTTGTCTCCAGGCCACGCGACTAGGATTCAAATCCAGCATCCTGCCATCTGCAACCTTCCATGGGAGAAAGGAAATCAGAGGAGAACAGGAAAACACAAGGAGGGGACTCCTTAAGTGAACATTGCAGGGAAATAGGTTTTTAAAGCACTAGTTAGCATCACCAGTGGTTTGAAGGCTGTCTAGGTAAGGAGAATGTGGACTTGCCTTTCACCGTCTGCACGGACAGGGGCTGAAATCTCCAGTCATTCTCTCCATCCTTCCACAGCCCTTCTAAGAAGCAGATCCTCTTGCTGAGCTGAAATCTTGAGACTTGCATCCGGCAATCTTGGTGTTGCTTTCTGAGGCTACTCAGGGAAAGCCCTTCTGTATTCCCCAGGAAGGAAAGTCTCCCAGATAGTGAAGGGCCTTTTCTACCTTCCTTGCAATTCCCAGTTCACTGTGAAGAAGAGAGTCAGGCCGGGTTAGAATGGCTGTCTCTGGTAGCAATGAAGCAACAACATAGACAGTCTGGACAAGATGTGGCAGTTCTGTCCAGTCCCGTGTGACTGATTTGGGCATGGAGACAGGCAGTGGGTGAGGATGGCCTCTGTAGGTCCAGCTGTTTTACCCCTAGAATCAAATCCCTGGAGCTTCCGGCAGTCCCAGGATTGGGAAGGGTAACAGAGAGGACGAGTCGGGCACTGCAAAAGACCAGATCTTGGAAAATTGCTTTGGGAATTGGGACACCTTCCAAGAAGACAGTTGAGTTGGCTGGGGCTCTGCCCTAGATGGGGTCAACCTCTCCCCAACACAGCCCTGCCCAGGTTGGGGCATTGGCAGCTTAAGTGCGTCCTGGACAACAAATGTAATGTATTGGTCCTGTAAGATTCTAGCCATTTTCCTCTGCTTATTTTTCTACATGTGTTACAAGTAATAATGTTTAGATGGGTACATATGAACTTGTGTAAGTTCAAGTAACTGCTATGTAGCTACAGCATGGGCATCAAGGTACTCTAAGGTACTTGCCCTGCCACACCGAGGCCCCCTGCCCCGGCCCCCTTTCCCTCCTAGCCAGCCTTCTAGGGAGCACTGCACACCCTGCCCCTTCAAAGCTATCTGGACAGTCCTGGCTCGACTGGAGCATTAAGGGAGGGGCTGTCCTTGGTCAGGCTTCTGCCCAACTGTGTGATGCATAAATCTTTGCCTGGCTCCTTCTTCCTTCTTTTCGGAAGTCTATCTCCTCCTGAGGGCCTCTGCGGTCCTAACCTATCAAGGAATATCATAGATTGTACTCCCCACCCCATCAAAACACACCCTGACTTTGCGTCTGGAATCAATCCTCATAAAGCCCCAAGGCTTGGAGCACAGAGGCCAGAAGCCCATATGGTGGCATGTCAGGCATGCTGTCACATGAGCTTCTCTGACTCCACTTCCAAGATGGCATCCAATTTGGAGTCTCTGTTCTCCATGAGCTCCCATAGCTGTCCCATATTCCACAAGGCACTGCTTCTGGGCCCCGGTCCTCTAGTTTCCTCATAGCCCTATTTTTGGGTACATTGGTGGATTTCAAATGCCTACAGTTGAGCAGCCGAAGGATTCTAAGAAAATTTTGCTTGTATTTCAAAGGCTCATGTCCCCAGCCCCATTCACTACACCCTCAGCAGAGCCCAGCGTGGAGCAACCTTGTCCCTTCATTCCCCAAATCTTCATTTTATATAGTCATTTAGTAAATATTTGTTAAGTGCCTCCTGTGATTCTGGAAAAAATGGAGAAAAGTGGGTGCTGCCTTCAGGGTACTAGGAGTCCGATGAAGAGAGGGAGGAGTTCCAGTAGGGTCCCGAGGCCCCACAGGAGCTCCCAACCCAGAGAAAGACCCTCCAGGAAGGATTCTCAGAGGAGGAGACTTCTGAACCCTGTCTTGAAATTTGAGTAGAATGGTAGGGAACGGTGTGTCAGACAGAAGGAACAGCCTATGTGTGGACTCAGAGGCAAGATCATGATTTATTGAGGGTAACTGCAAGTGGCTAAAATCCTGCCCCCTGGCACTTGCCTGCCTTTCCCTGCTTTCCCCAAAGCCTGATTTTGGGACCCTGGAGTCTCCATCTCCAAACAGAGGGTGCCCTGGCTCAGATGTGGAGACCTTGACTTCTTTCCCCAGCATGCTCTGGTTCCTACTGTTAGCCTTGGTGTCCTGTGGGGGAAGATGTCTGAGGAGAGTTTTGTGCTTGCTGGAGTCAGACCAGTACTCAGGCCACCTCAGGCCTGCTCTGCATCCCTCTCTGGCTCTACAGACCTCTCTCTCTCTCTCTCTCTCTCTCTCTCTCTCTCTCTGTCTGTCTGTCTCTGTGTCTGTCTCTGTCTCTGCCTGCCTCCACACAGTGAAGGATGTGTCTCTATTTCTTAGTGCCCTGCATTGGGTCCTGAAGTCCATGGGCATCTTGGCTATAGATGGGTTGGCCATGAGCCCTTCTCTCTAATGCATTTTTCATTCCTGTTCCTCTTTTGCTTCACTTTCCCTCTATCGACTCTTGCGACCTGTGTCTCTGATGTCTCTGGGGCCCCCAGTTCTGTCTTGCCATACCAAAAAACCTTCTTCAGCAAAAAACCTCTTTCTGGGACAGTTCATATCACTCTATGAATAGGCCCCTGAAGTGTTGAGGTCAAGGACATGTGTGAACGTGGAAATGTATTTATGGAAAGACCCTACACTGAGGGTCTCTAACTAAACATTTCAGGTATGATGGGCAAAATGCTGGTTTGTTACAGAAATGACTGAAGAAGACCTAGGGGCCATAGTGGGCCACAGGCCAAGCCTGCAATACAGCCTGAAGTGTGGGAAAGAATGTATCAGTCCTGTTGATGGAGTGGTGTGTTTGCTGTCTCTATAAATATGTCAGGGTTTGAAAGACAGAAAACAAAGCATCTTTGCTGACCGCCAGACTCCCAGGGTATATGTGGCTACTGCAAATTAGCGAGGCTTGTTTATCTGCTTCAACTTGACTCAATTTGCATTTCTTGAGCCACTGTCTATTGTGGATAATGATTTCATCAACACTTTCTCAGCATCAGCAGCCCCTCCAGAGTATTCCTTGAATTTTCTTAGCTTTGTGCAACCCACGAGCACTTAATATATCACTAACCCTTGAGTTTATTGGAGGGAGTGAATGAAATAATGAATGTCAATAACGTTACGCAATACCTGGCACACAGTAGGTGCTTCATCAATGTGGCTTTTCTTCTCAATCACCCAAATGAACCTCCCCCAGAATCCCACCTCTAGGGGGACATTCCTGAAAAATAAGGGACTAGAATAGCGAGGTGGTGGGTGTTACCCATTTATTTAGATATTTGTGTCCTGGTGAACATGGGGAGGGATGCCCAAGTGTCATAAGGACACCCCCTCCCCCCGTCTACAAGGCAGAGGTCTCTTAGGATGTGAGAGAGTCTCTGGCAAGACCAGCCCCCACCCCACCAAGGCCCTCATAGAAACAGAACATTCTTCCTCCCTATCCCAAAGCAGAAGTTGACTGGGGCAGATAAGGCAAGTCACATTACATCTGTGCCCTTGACCATACCTGGACCAGGCAGAGAAGATCCCAGACTTAGGTGGTCAACGTTTCCACCCCAAGCCTCTCATTTCTCGCTCTCTTTGAGACTTGATCTTGTACCAGGATCCACTCGACAGACTTAACGCATGATTAATTTGATTGATTACTCTTGAAGTTACTGACCTTAGGAAAATTCCTCAATTGTAAAAAGGCTTTCTCTATATGTAAATTATGCTGTTATCTTTTTCTATACACAAAGTATATAGACCTATAAATATTATACATATATATTATATATATAAAGACTAATTCTTGTACAGACCAACGCGGACCGATGGTCCATATTCTTTTCTCCATGTTTGTTTGTGTCGACTGTTGCAGAGTGAGTTGATGTAAGAAGGTGGTTTCATGTTTTCTTTTGGGGGGCCACTTCTTTCTTTTCCTTTCCGTTTCTATCTCTGTCTGTCTCCGTCTCTGTCTCTCTCTTTCTCACTTGTTGCCAATGTCTTGTTGCTGAGAAGGAACACTCTATTCAGATGCCATCCAGGAAAGAAAGGCCAGATGGATGGAGGGTCCACTGTGTATATTTGTACAGAATCATTTATAAAGTTTTCTACACTTCTAAAAAAAGTATTTCTAACTTGGGCTGTTGGACAGTTTGTGTGCCTCTGAGCCAGCAAGCCTGTTGTTTCTTGTGTTTAGTGCAATGTTTAGTGAGAAACCAATGTCTGAATTATTTATGCCAATAAAAAATTTGAGAATTACTGCATTGCACTACTGCCAAGACAGGTCTGAATTCTATTGTTGTCTGTTGTACAGAAAGAAGCTTGAATTATGACATTGGCCATTGTATCAGCCAGCTATCACCACGGTAATGCTGTGTAACAAGCCTCCCCCAAACTCCATAGCTTACAACAGCTAACATTTATCCTCGTGCTCGTGGGTCTGCGATTCTAGGTTGGGTTTACCTAAGAGGCTCCTCTTTAGGCTTCAGGTCAAGTTCAAGTCAGCTCCACATGTCTCCCTGTTTCAGGGGCCAGGCTGAAGAAGAAACTCCCTGGGGCATGCTCTTCCCATGAAAGATCATCAGAACATATGAGCCAAACAAGGCTGGGCATGATGGCTTAAGCCTGTAATCCCAGCACTTGGGGAGGCTGAGGCAGGCAGATTGCTTTAGCCCAGGAGTTTGAGACCAACCTGGGCAACATGGCGAAACCTCATCTCTACAAAAAAAAAAAAAAAAATTAGCCAGGTATGGCAGCAGTCACCTGTAGTCCCAGCTACTCAGGAAGCAGAAGTGGGAGGATCACTTGAGCCTGGGAAGTTGAGGCTTCAGTGAGCCATGATTGTGCCACTGCACTTCAGCCTGGGTGACAGAGCAAGACCCTGTCTCAAAAAAAAAAAAAAAAAAAAAAAAAAGCCAACCAGCCTGTAGAGACACATTCATGACATCATCTCAAACCATATGCACTAACATTTCATTGGGTCAAGCAAGTCAAATAACTGAGCCTTTCAATAGGACAGTATTGTAAACTCCACCCAGAGTGGGAGGGGGAAGGAAGTGAATGTTTCCTGCACCGTAATCCAAGTTATCACAGTCTGGCCAAGTATTCTTCCAGCCAGCCCGGCAAAAATGCATTCTCTCCCCTAGGGACAAATGCAGAAATTCGTCCGTGAATTCGTCGTGTGAATGCAGAAATATACACGGATGTGCACACAACTACAGCTCTCCACACTGAGCATGTGATCTGTGCCCAGATTAATCCCCACAACCACACAATTCCATTTTATAGATGTGAAGGCTGGGTGCAGAGGGATGAAGTAACTGGCCCACCCCAAGTTCAGAACCCAAAACTCATAGCCCTCTTGGGGCCACACACAGCATGATGGGCTTCTAAGTACCTTGGATTTTTAAAAGCCACTTTATAAAGTGCTTTTATGAAACAAGATCTCACCTGACCTGGAAAACCAGTGAGGCTGGGACTATTCAACTCATTCGACAGCAGAATAACTGAAGATGGAGAAACAGGCTATCCGGCAAATCTGACTGGAACTCCCAGGCCCCTCCCTTGAGGAGCTGCTGCTGAGAGATGGAAGAACTGGCCTCATCTGTCCTGGTAAGTTCTTCTCAGCATGCGCTGGAAGGGAGCAGACTGACAGGCTGGAGTCTAATTCTGTTAAATAGCACTGCCATATGCAAGCTATATTGCCCTGGCCAGGTCACTTAGCTGCTCTGAGCCTCCACTGTCTCATCTGTAAATGGGCATAATTATTGTACCTGTAGTACCTACCTCCCAGCGTTATGAGGCTTAGATGAATTAACATCAGTACTTGGAGCAGTGACCAGCACCCAGTAAGTGTTCTTAAATACATGAGTTGCTAGTTTGAATATTTATTGCTAGGCTGGGCGTGGTGGTTCACACCTATAATCCCAGCACTTTGGGAGGCCGAGGCAGGTGGGTCACTTGAACTTAGGAGGAGTTCAAGACTAGCCTGAGCAACATGGTGAAACCTTGTTTCTACTAAAAATACAAAAAAATTAGCCAGGCATGGTGGTGGGTGCCTGTGGTCCCAGCTGCTTGGTAGGCTGAGGCAAGAGGATCTCTTGAGCCTGGGAGGTGGAGGTTGCAGTGAGCCAAGATCGCATCACTGCACTCCAGCCTTGGCGACAGAGTGAGACTGTCTCAAAAAAAAAAAAAAAGAAAAAAGAAAAAAGAAAAGTATGACTGTGGTTCATTTCTAACATTAGTGCCTAAGGGCAAACTCCACGGTGAGTGACCGTCTGCACCCTAGAATGCAAATCTCTGCTGAGTTAACCCAGATCTGTCTCACCCTCAATCTCTCTCTCAGAGAACAGCAATTGGTATCTAGCACTGTAAACTTTTCGACACACCTTCACAAGCATGATTTCTTCCCACTTACCACGTTCAGATGGGGTGGGTGTATGAGTTGGCCCATTTTACACAAGGGGAAACTGAGGTTGCAAAAAGTGAAAGTCTCCTACAGTATCTGCATGTCTGTCCTGGGCTATCTCACTCAGACCAGCTGGGTGACCCAACTGGGCAATGACATCAACTGTCAGAACCTCAGTTTTTTTTTACTGTAGAATTGGGATAATAACTACATTCATTTCAGAGAGTTATGGTCAGGATTAAAAGCAGGTAAAACATGTAGCACAATTCCTGGCATAAACAATCAATACACATTAGCTATTTCAAGCCCAGATCTGACATTAATCTCTGGGAGAGTGTTGACGTGGGGAGGCGGTGTGAAACAATACCAGAACCTTCCATCCTCCTCTCTCCTTTTGCAGGCATAAGAGAAGGGGAAGAGTCTTTCCTGGGGCCTGGAACTAATTGATTATCCTGGTTCTGGCTTGTGGTCTTCTGTGGCCTTGGGGTCGCCATCAATCAGGCACAGCAGGTGCTGAGCTGAGTGAGGGAAACCTTGCGAGTAATCGGAACTAAACAGCTCATTAACCTCTGTGCACAGGCTTCAGGGCAAGTGCCTGGTAACCAGAAACACAGGCACAGATGAGGTGCCTGCCCAGCTGCCTGGGTAGCAGGGACAAGGCCTCTGAAACCCCTCTAGTCCTGGACTCCTCTTCACCTTTGCCCAGAATGAGACTCTCCAGAGCCCACCCACATCTCCCATCTCCCATCATTCAGTTCCCAGGAACAGTGCTAAGCACATTACATTTGTCATCTCACTTAACCCTTACCATGGTCCCATGCAGCAAATGCTATATTGTTCTTGTTATGCAGATGAAGCTCCTGAGGCTCAGAGAGGTTAAGTGACTTGCTCAGCATCACACAGTGGGAAGTGTGGAGCCAAGATTCATACCCAGACCATTTGAATCTGGGGCCCATGCTCTGAACTGCAATTCAGTTTTTTTGTTTGTTTTGTTTTGTTTGAGACAGGGCCTCACTCTGTTGCCCAGGCTGGAGTGCCGTGGTACCATCTCAGCTCACTGCAGCCTCAACCTCCCGAGCTCAGACGATCCTCCCACCTTAGCCTCCCAGGAAGCTGGGACTACAGGTGCGTGCCACCATGCCCAGCTAATTTTGTTTATTTTTTGTAAGACAGAGGTCTCTCTGTGTTACTCAGGCTGGTCTTGACCTCCTGGGCTCAAGTGATCCTCCTGCCTCAGCCTCCCAAAGTGCTGCAATTACAGGTGTGAGCCACCTCTCCTGGCCTGAATTGCAATTCTTGATGACTTCCAGGGAAGACAAGAGGCAACGAAAAGCCATTGCAATGAATCAATGCTTCTCAACCAGGGACGATGTTGCCCCCCCCACCTCCCCCGGGGAACTTGGCAATGTCCAACTGAGGGATGCTAACGGCATCTAATGGCTAGAGGCCCAGGATGCTGTTCAAATCCTCTAATGCATAGGACAGCCCTCCACAACAAGAATTATCCAGCCCAAAATGCCAGTGGTGCTGGGGTTGAGAAATCCTGCAAGTACAGGACATGGTGGGGCACATGGGCTTGGGTTACAGTGGGGAGCAATTGGACAGTGTTCACGGAAGAACTGAAAGACCTTGGTTGGAGAGCAAGTCATCTGCTTTCACTTTACAGACGCAGCAAGAGAAGTGATGTAAATTGCTAAGGGACAGACTGAAATCTAAGCCAGCATTCCTAAACACCTTCTATGCAGTGGGCACAGGGCCAGGGATGCTACCAGCTCACACATTTAATGATCATTCATTCAGACATTGCCCAGCTTAGTCAAGACCCTTGGAGTTGAAAACAGTCATCCCCATTCTGTAGTTGCAGAAGCCAAGGCTCAGAGACATGTGCTATGTGCTCAAAGCCACACAGCTAGAAAGGGCCAGAGCTGGGATTTGAACCTGGGTCTCCCGTCAATTGCACGGTCACATTTTCCGAAAAGCAAACCAAAGACACTAACCTCAGGGAGTCTGCCGCCACCTCTGAGCAGGAGCATCTTGTATGCATAGTCAGGAAATCCCCGATATGAGTTTGTGTCGTGGCCAAAACACCACTTAGCCGCTGTGTGACCTTGGGTAAGTCATTTCACCTCTTGGAGCCTTGGCCCGCTCATCTGTAAAATGGAAATCATGAAAGTGCCTATTTCAAAAAATTGTGAATCCTCATTGACTTAATGTAAAAAACTTTCAGTGTTTAGCACAGAGTAAGACTTCAGTGCATGTTTTAGTTCAGGGCATTCTGGGAAGCAGCATTGGGACTTGGATGGGGGACGTTTGTTGAGGGCCTCGAATGCCAGGCTAAAATTTGGGGCTTAGGCTCATAGGCAGTGGTGGTCCAGAGGTGGCCAGTCAGTTGATGTGGTCAGCCGTGCAAACCCCACATGCACGGTGCAAGCAGTTCTTCCCCCATCCTGAAATGAGCTCTGGGGAAAGGTCCATGTCCCCCTTGAGCATTTCATACATCTTCCAGGAGGCTCCAGGGAGTTCAGGTAGGGTCATGTCCAGGGTGAGGCAGGTATGGCCTGTGCAGGTGGCTGGAGCTCCAGGTAAGGGTGGAGTTGGCCAAAGCGGGGACTCTCACTCCTGGCTGGGACCCTCTTCTCATAGGCCTACAGGTTCCAGAGGTGGCCCCACCCTCAAGTCCCCGCCTTACCTTCCGGGAGCTGACCCATGTGCTCACACATGCACACACACACGTGTGCACAGAGATACTCTATCGTCCACATGCACACCCACATCCACACTTGCTCAACTTTAGGACATGTAAATTCCTACTGCTCACCCCACACACTCTCACACGCCAATCCCTCCCCACTACCTCTGGCCACCACTGCCCTCTGGTTGGGGCTGGGTCCCTGCAGGCCTCACCTGACCTGACATTAACATTAGTTTCCAAAACATGCCCAACAGTAACTGTTTGTCTAAGCAGTCTGCAATGGTTGCCCCTGGGGTGAGTTGCTTGTTCCATGGCTGCAGGCAGGCAGCTGGGAGTGTCCAGGTCCAGCTCTAAATGTAAGTCCCTGCCCTTCCCAGGGCTCCAAATTACAGTAGTGTTTGACAATTGGGTCATTGTTTTTCCTGCACCATTTATAACTCCTGGAGCTCCCCTGGGGGTTTATGAACATGGAAAATGTCATCTCAGCAGCTAACAAGCCAAACAAGGAAACACACATCCTTAAGCTCCAAGATCAGTGGCTTCATCCAGGACTTGGAGTTTTCCTGAAATGTGTTCATGGGAGGTTAGTGAATATGGTCAAAAAGCAAAAGGGGCCGGACATGGTGGCTCACACCTGTAATCCCAGCACTTTGGGAGGCCAAGGCTGGTGGATCACCTGAGGTCAGGAGTTCGAGATCAGCCTGGCCAACATAATGAAATTCCCTCTCTACTAAAAATACCAAAAATTAGCCGGGCATAGTGGTGGGTGCCTGTAATCCCAGCTATTCAGGAGGCTAAGACAGGAGAATTGCCTGAACCAGGGAGGCGGAGGTTGCAGTGAGCCGAGACGGCGCCATTGCACTCCAGCCTGGGCAACAAGAGTAAAACTCCATCTCAAAAAAAAGAAAAAGAAAGATAAGAAAAAGGGCACTAAGTGAAACTAAGTTAAGTTGGCTCTTTGCAGCAGGACTTGTCACTCTTCTTTTTTTGAGACAGAGTCTTCATATTAGTTCATTTTCATGCTGCTGATAAAGACATACCTAAAACTGCGAACAAAAAGAGGTTTAATTGGACTAACAGTTCCCCATGGCTGGGGAGGCCACAGAATCATGGCAGGAGGCAAAAGGCACTTCTTACATGGTGGTGGCAAGAGAAAAATGAGAGAAGCAAAGCAGAAAGCCCTGATAAACTCATCAGATCTTGTGAGACTTATTCACTATCATGAGAACAGCACAGGAAAGGCTGGCCCCCATGATTCAACTACCTCCTCTGGTCCCTCCCACAACACGTGGGAATTCTGGGAGATAACAATTCAAGTTGAGATTTGGGTGGGGACACAGCCAAATCATATCAGTCTTGCTCTGTTGACCAAGCAGGAGTGCAGTGGTGTGATCTCAGCTCACCACAACCTTCGCCTCCCGGGTTCAAGAGACTATCCTGCCTCAGCCTCCCAAGAAGCTAGATTACAGACATGTGCCACCCACCACACCCTGCTAATTTTTGTATTTTTAGTAGAGATGGGGTTTCACCATGTTGGCCAGGCTGGTCTCCAACTCCTGGCCTCAAGTAATCCTTCCACCTCAGCCTCCCAAAATGCTGGGATTACATGCGTGAGCCACTGTGCCCAGCCTGTCAGTTTTTAATATGCCCATGAACATTATAACTCCCTTAGGAGAGGCTAGAGTAGGTAGGTTTCTCAACTTACTTGGCTTCAGAACCCTTTTTTCACTATATCTTGGTGGATTCATGCTCCATGGAATGCTTTGAGAAACACTACACTCAGACATGGGAAAAATTCAAAGTATATTCTGAGAACTTTTACAAACCAGGCAGCCTAATAGTCCATGTTTCCTGGACCATTAGATGAAAGGAAAAAAAAAAAAAAAAAGAAACTTCAGAGATACTGATATATTGTCTCAGCTTTTTATTTTGCCAAGTAAAGACATTAAAAAAACCAAAGCAAAACAAAAACAAGATCTTTCCAACGTAGTATCAACATTGTTTTATAAAAGAAAGGCAATCTATTACCCCAAGATTAGTAGGGCCTTAATTTGAAGAATAAAAATGTAAATGCTCTTATATTTTCTCATTTCTCCAAATACCAGTGAGGTGGAGACCACAGTTCATAGACAAGTGTTTGGGGGCCACTTTGATCATTACACATTCTACGCATGTAACAAAATATCGCACCTACACCATAAATATGTGCAAATACTATGTATCAACTTTAAAATGTTTTTTTAGAGTCCCTGGATTCTGGACTTGGATACCAGGGGTTTGAACCGCCGCTCTTGGTCTCACTGACTTGGGACTCTTAGAGGTTGCCATGTATGTGTGCCCTTCCCCCACCTCTGCAGGCTTTTGCTTCTAACATTCTAACAACCGCTCCTGTAATTGTCATAGGATCACTTTTTTTTTTTTTTTTTTTTTTGAGACGAAGTCTCACTCTGCTGCCCAGGCTGGAATGCAGTGGTGCAATCTTGGCTCACTGCAACACCCACCTCCTGGGTTCAAGCGATTCTTCTGCTTCAGTGTCCTGAGTAGCTGGGATTACAAGCACATGCCACCATGCCCAGCTAATTTTTGTACTTTTAGTAGAGACAGGGTTTCACCATATTGGCCAGGCTGGTCTTGAACTACTGACCTCAAGTGATCCACCCAACCTGACCTCTCAAAGTGCTGGAATTACAGGCGCGAGCCACGAGCCCATCCACCAAGCATGTTTTAAACATAAATTCCATTGCATTCCATTGCAATCAAACAGCAATAATTGTTACCATTTATTGAAAGTTGCTGAGGGCTCATTGAGTCCCCTCAAAGGCCCCATGAGGTAAGCACTGTTGTTATGCATGCCCATTTGAGAGGTGAAGAAACTGAGGCTTAGAGAGGACTGATTTGCTGTAAGTCACACAGCAGGTAATACAGCAGGCAGAGCTGGGATTTGAACTGGGGTCTGAACGCCAAACTGTGCTCCTAAATCATTGCTTTTAAGAGTGTTAGACAGACTCAGGGCTGCATTTCATTTAGGGCTAATTATTTCCCACTACTCAGGCAAGACCCTTCTGAAGAATCTGACCGATGCTCTGTGAATTATGAGGCTTTCCAGTCTGGCTCGTAGCAACAGGCACTCTTCCCAGGACTGTGTGAGAGGCTGTTTCCTCTAATCCCCTCAGATGGTGTCCCCAGCCTTGGGCAATTTCCTCTCAGTCACCATCAGCAGTCAGCTGAACCCTCAAGGGGACCTCCACAAACAATCATTGAGGACCCACCCACCAGGGGGATAAGGCACCAGGTGCTGAACGCCTGCTCTGTGCTATGGGGCTTTATACTTAATCCTCCAGTAACTCTCTGAAGCTGTGCTGTCCAATGCAACTGCCACGAACCACAGGCAGCTACTTCCACTTAAATTAATTACAATTAAATAAAATTTGAAAACCAGTTCCTCTGTCACACCAGCCATATTTCAAGTGTTTAATAGCCACGCGTGGCTAGTGGCTACCACCTTGGTGTCCATGTGTCCATTACGGCAGGAAGTTCTAGGGAATAGCAATTCATCCCCAATTCACAGATGAGGAAACTGAGGCTCTGGCTCAGGCTCCTGTATGATAAAGCCAGGATGGCACCCTGGCCTCTGATTCCAGCCACTCTGATTCCAAACTGCCTCTCCTACAAAGGCCCACAGTGGAGCTCAGCTCCAGGGACAGAAAGACAGATAAACACAGAGGAGCCCAGCCGAGCATTAGAGACAGACAAGTAATGGAAAGTGACAGTAGAGTGTGGCAACCCTTAGGATCTGTGGGCTCAGGGACACCTTGCCCATTTTGCTGAGAATATCCTGCCTCCTGTCTTCATTCCCTCAGTCAGCAAAACTTTCCAGATCGGCATTCCCCAAACGGGAGCCACTGACCACACGTGGCTACTGAACCCTTGAGATGTGGCTGATCTGAATTGAGTTGCAAGTGCAAAACACACACCAGATTTCAATGAGGTGCCAAAAAAGACTAAACTGTCTCATTAATAAATTTTAATTAATTACACACTGACATGATAGTTCTCAATGATACTGGATTAAAGTGTATTAATTACTGTAATTAATGCTGCCTGTTTCTTTTTACCTTTGAATGCAGCTACTAGAAAACTTACAATTATATCTGCAGCTTGCAGTATTTTTCTGGTGGTCGCTGCTTCTCTGAAGGTCCCAATCCCTGTGCTCTGCAAGAGGCCACAGAGTAGAACCAGAAGAGAAATCTGCAAAAGTCCAGGAAAGAGACTCGCTGCTCTAGGCTTGGTCTATGCAGCTGCGCATGGGCTCAGCATGGGAGGTGCTGGAAGCCGCGCATCAGAGGGCTAGGTGCACCGATTGGGAACCATAAGCAAGTGACTGGTCTTTCCTGTTTCCTCCTCTGTAAAATGGAAATAGTAATTATCCCTGCCTCCTGGAGTTATTTTAGAGGTTAAGTAAATTAATGAATGCAAAGTGTCTGTTGCATAGTTGGTGCTTAATAGATGACTATGATTTCCAACCAGGGACAATGTTATTACTACTTCAGGGTCACTGGCACTGTCTAAAGACATTTTGGGATGTCATAAGTGGAGGCGGAAGGGAGGTTATTACTGGCATCTAGTGGGTAGAGGCCAGGGACGCTGTTAAAATCGTACAATGCACAGGACAGCTCCTTGCCACAGTCATCCAGCCAAATGTTAACAGGGCCAAGGTTCAGAAACCTAAGGCAATGGCTATCACTGTGATTAACAGGATTAACACCTGTGGAAATTACCTAGTTAAAAGTCCAGTCGTGAGTGAGACCCCATCTCTGAAAAAGATGAAAAAATTAGCCAGGCGCGGTGGCACATGCCTATAGTCCCAGCTACTCAGGAGGCTGAGGTGGGAGGATCACCCAGGAGTTTGAGGCTGCAGTGAGGCATGACCACACTACTGCGCTCCGGCCTAGGTGACAAAGCAAGACCCTGTCTGATATGGGTTGGCCGTGTCCCCACCCAAATATCATCTTGAATTGTAGCTCCCATAACTCCCACATGTTGTGGGAGGGACCCGATGGGGGGGTCATTGATTCATGGGGGTGAGTCTTTCCCATGCTGTTTTCATGATAGTGAATAAGTCTCATGAGATCTGTTGGTTTTATAAATGGTAGTTCCCCTACACAAGCTCTCTCTTGCCTGCCGCCATGTCAGACGTGACTTTGCTCCTCCTTCACTTTCCACCATGATTTTGAGGCTTCCCCAGCCACGTGGAACTGTGAGTCCATTAAACCTCTTTCCTTTCTAAATTACCCAGTCTCGGGTATGTCTTTATGAGCAGTGTGAGAACAGACTAATACCCCGTCTCTAAAAAATAAAAATGAAATTCCAATCGTGAGACGGTAGACTTCACGAAGGCAGAAATTTTTATCAGTCTTGATCACTACTATATCCCCAGTGCCTAGGAGACAGCACATAGTAGGTGCTCAGGATATATTTGTTGAATGAAGAGACAAATGAATAAAATGGCAGGGCTACTTGTTGTCAAAGTCTCATGTGGTCAAAGCCAGAAAGAACATTCTGATCTGTGCATATATGAATATAAGAAATATTTGCCGACTGCTATGTGATGTGCTCTGTGCCACACACTGGAGGTATGATGGTGTAAACAAGACCCAGAAGGTAGAGCTCAGTCTGGTGGATACATCTGACAGATGAACAGGCAATTCTGGAGTCCCCTTTATAGCATCCTGCTGGAGTTATTTAATTGATGAGAAGCTCATTCGCTCACAAGGCAGCATACTCTGTGATTCTTATAAGAATATTCTTAGCCAGGCGTGGTGGCTTATGCCTGTATTCCCAGTACTTTGGGAGGCTGAGGCAGGTGGATCACCTGAGGTCAGGAGTTTGAGACCAGCCTGGCCAACATGGCAAAACCCCGTCTCTATGAAAAATACAAAAAAATTAGCCAGGCATGGTGGTGCATGCCTGTAATCCCAGCTACTCGGGAGGTTGAGGCTGGAGAATTGCTTGAACCTGGGAGACAGAGGTGGCAGTGAGCAGAGATCGTGCCACTGCACTCCAGCCTGGGCAACAGAGCGAGACTCCTTCTAAAAAAAATTATCTTTACTAGAGACAGCCACCACCACCAGGGTGCAGTCACCTGAGCTTAGAGCCCTTCCCTTGTCATCTCAAAGCCCCACTCTGTCCCCCAGGCACCTGCCCTATGCCTGGCTTGGGAGGGCCCCATGGCTAACAGCCCAGCCAGCTGCTTGCTCCCTTCTCATCTCTGCTTGACAAGCCAGGCTGGCTGAGTCACAGGCTCAGCTTCTCCCAACCCACGTGGGGTCTGGGTCTATGCCAGGGGGATGAGCGCCTGCCAGAGTGCCCGCAAGTCAGACCAAAAAGAGCCCATGAGCTTCACTGAGGATCAGACCTAAGAACATTCTGGAATCCCATGCTCTAGCTTGGAGCTCCCAGAGGGCCAGATGGCAGCAGACAGGTATGTAATTCTACCAGTGAGAAAACCAGGGCATCCAATGTGTTGGGGAGAACCTGCATTGCCTGAGAATAGTAATATAATAATTATTATTGTTATATGTTGTCATGGCTAATTATTGCTATTTATTGTCACGGTTAATTATTAAAGTGGACAGCCATGTCTGCATTGGTCACTGCTATATCCCCAATGCTTAGAAGGGTACCTGGCACATAATAGGTGCTCAGTGAGTTCTTCTGTGGAATAAATGCGTGAACAACAACAATAATAGCTACTTCTATTTGCTGAGCACATAACACAAGGAATTAATATTTATTTTTGTGGGGGTTTTACATTTGTCTGTCTCCACCACAGGGGCATGAGTGACTGACTTTGGTTTTTTGGGGTTTTTTTTGTTTGTGTGTTTGTTTTTTGAGACGGAGTTTCACTCTTGTTGCCCAGGCTGGAGTGCAACGGCATGTTCTTGGCTCAGTGCAACCTCCACCTCTCAGGTTCAAGTGATTCTCCTGCCTCAGCCTCTTGAGTAGCTGGGATTACAGGTGCCCACCACCATGTCCGGCTAATTTTTTTGTATTTTTAGTAGAGATAGGGTTTCACCATCTTGGCCAGGCTGGTCTCGAGCTCCTGTCCTCAGGTGATCTGCCCGCCTCTGCCTCCCAAAGTGTGTGAGCCACCGCACCTGGCCAACTGACTGTTTTTACAAGAATATTGTTCCTGTAAAAATTATATCCCCAGCACAGTGACCCATGTCTCGTAGGTGCTCAATAAATGTTGTTGAATAAAAAGGCAGGTGCTGAGTATTATCTCATTTATTTTCACGCAGCCCAGGCAGGGTGGGAGCGCCCGGGAGCACATTTTTAGAAAGGAGAAATTGAGACTAGAGAGTAAAATGACTTCTGAAGGTCACGCAGTTTGTGAGACTCAAATCAGAGCCAGGATCTGAACCCTGTGCACTTGCGGAACCTGTGTACTCCTCACTGCTGAGTCCCGCTGCTGGCAGTAAAGACAAAGAACAGGGTTGGGGGCCTTTGGCAAGGGCTCCCAGGGCAGAGTGGGGCTACTTTGGTACTCCCTCATCCTGCCCTGTGAACCCAAGTCACAAAGCCTTTTCCATGTGATGTCCCATTTGGGGTTCACAGCAGCTGCAGCCAAGCCCAGAGAGGTGGAGTAACTTGCTCAAGGTCACACAGCAAGTTGGGCACAGGTTTTCTGACTCTATGTCCAGTGCTCTTTCTCCTAAACCCCAAACTGTGGCTCAAACCTGGAGCCCTAATATAAGCAGGAACACATGTGAGTCAGGGAAGAAGGCTTGTATTTTAGCAGTGGACTTTACTTTCCCTGGCAACCTGCCCCAACACACCTGGTGGCAAATCCACGTTCCGTACTTTGCTGTGTGACTTTGAAAACTGGCATCCCCTCTCTAAGCCTCAATTTCCTCATCTCAAAAATGGGGATGACATTATCTATATTGCAGGTGGCCATGAAAATCCCTGACTCAATGTCAGATACAGCTGAATGTGTGTTCTGGCTCTTCTACTGTGTGACCTTGGAGAAGAAGCTTAGCTTCTCTGAGTCTCCGTTTCCTCATCTTGCAAAGTGGGTTAATAAATGCCCACCTTTTGGGGACACATGAGATTTAAGAGGGGACAGTGTGGGCACCATGCCTGGCCTGGTGCATAGTAAGTGTGCAATAAAAGGTAGTTCATGGGATCCTTTGTGACTGCCGTGGGTGGCCTCACTCAGGATCCGGCGGGCACAGCCTGGTCCCTGCAGACACAGTGCACTCGATCCTGGCTGTCCCCAGCCAGCTGGGGGGAAACCTGAGCCACCCTCCTCCTGGGCAGACGCTGCCACTGCTGCTGCCACCTCTAAATGAAAGAAAGGTCAGAGCCTGGGGAAGCCAGGGCCATGCCATGGAGGCAGCCGGCAGGAGAGGAAGGGAGGGGTGGCCGGTGACTGCCTGACTGCCCTTGTCTCTCCCAGGGAAGCCTGAACTGGCCTGGTCTGGGTGCAACCCCCCTGCCCAAGGCTTGGCCTCCCAACCCAGCAGAGCCGCCTCCCAGCCTGCCCCTGGGGAGGGGCCACCTGGTGTCAATTAAACCCCAGTCGCTCGGCCTGCACCACGCCAGGCGGCTGATTAGTGCCGCTGGCCTCTCCAGATGGGGAGCACTGTCTGAGAGGGGGTGACCGCCACCATGCCAGGGTGAGGCCTTGCCGGAGCTGGTGAGTACCCAGGCGGGGGCTCAGCTCCCCAGGCAGGAGGACCTGGTGTGCCCGAGCTGGGCATCATGGGGTGGAGGCTTACCGTAGGGCTCATTTTCCTGAAGCGTTACAGGGCCTCACAGCATCCCTGACCCCGTCACCTCAGCCTTACATTAAGGGTACACAAGGGGACCACAGGCCAGCCCCGTGTCCTTCCCCTCCAGTCACGCAGCCGCAGGGGCTCCCCCCAGACAGTGTCAGGAGACCTGATGGGTGAAGGAGGGATCAGTCGGCACAGTTGAGGCTTTAGGGTTTCCACTCTGCCCTCATTACCCCCAACAGAGCTGGTTCTCCCTGCTGGCCTGTCTGGGACTCTAAGCCTGGGTCCCTCCAACCTGCCAGCCTCAGAGCTCATGCTGTGGGTGGCACCATTGCTCGGCTGGCATGAGACCCCTGTGGGAAGCAGGCGTGGAGAGGCTGCTGTACTGGAGGCCGGAGCTGAGGGGGAGGCCACGCGCTTCAGAGGGCCACATGTCCTGGAGCACGACTGAGGGCCAAGGAGGGCCCTGGCCAGGATCCACAGATGCTTTTAGGGGCACCAGTGCAGCCTGCACACAGGGCCACTCTGCAGGATCTCAGCCACCTCCTGGTTCCTTGTGGAGAGTTGATCCCAGCAGGGACAGAGGAGGAGGTGGCTGCCTGCTCATGGGACAGATGTTGGGGTGGGGGGGACACAGGGAAAGCTCACCAGTGCCTCCAGGAAGTGGGGGGGACACATGAGTCGTCCTTGAGCCTGCACTGTCTGTAAACGCTGAGCCTCAGCTCCTGGCTGGGAGAGGTTCCGTTATCCATGAGAGGGTCCCTCGTGGTGACAGACAGTGTTATCACTTGGTGGTACCACCTGGTGGTCTGTGGCCACTGCCTGCCTTGGTGGAGGCAAAGTGTGTTTGAGATAGGATGGCAGGGCCTGGCCTGGGGAGATGGAACATCACTGAGTGTCCGTCCGCATGCGCGTGCTATCTGGGGTGCACATCGCTGAGTGTCCTTCCGCGTGCACATGCTGTCTGGGGTGCATTTTGGTCATGCACATCCCTGCAGCCCATTCTGTCCAGCAGGGCATAGTGCCTGCTCTGTGTGTGTGTGTGTGTGTGTGTGTGTGTGTGTGTGTGGTTGCATTTGATGCCAAAGCCATGCAGAGGAGGGCTCCGTGACAGTGTCACAGAATCACTGCAGACGGCTCCTTCCAGCTCAGTCTATCTTGGGGGTGTTTCCCAAGAGCAGCGCCCCCAGAGCTTCCTGGAGAGCTGGCTAGAGACTCTCCCAATTGTGCATCTTGGGGAGTTTCACTTGCTTTCTCTCCCAGATTCCTTTCCCAGCTGGCTAACGCCAAGCCAGGCTGGTGGCTGGACCCGAGGACTGTGAGTATGAGACAAGAGGAAAGGGATGGGGGCAGCTGCAAGGGAAGCTCAGCTGCTTTCTGGGAAACAGTGGATCTAGTTCATTTCTGCTATAAATATTCATCAGAGGCCTCTGTGCCAGGACCTAGGCCCAACGCTGAGGATATGATGGCAAACGTAGAATGCATTCATTCATTCCAAAAATATTTATCAAGAAACATCTAATGCCGGATGCTGAAATTACATGGGAGATCTCAGATCCATTTATTCCTGTATTCCTTTGTTCACTCCACGGCATTTATTGAGGATACACTATGAGTGAGCCCCGTACTAGCTGCGGCAGATACACGGGCAGAGCTGGGATATGAGAAACCATGGCCTCTTCCAATTTTCTCAGCTGGCTTTGCACACTACGCCTGGATCTAGTGGAAATCTAGATGTCTAAGAAACAGCAGGACATGGGATTCTTTTTGTAGCAAAGGATGAGGCCCCACTTGGCAATACCATGCAGAACATCTCCAGTGTCCACCCAGAATTAGTGGCTTTTGCTAGAGGCCAGGGATTATGACTATCACATACCCTCTTAGGCCTCTGGGAAATAACCACACCAGAGCAAACTGAGCTTCACATACATCCATGGTTTAACTTCCTTTGCCAAAGGAAAGTATGATAATTTTGATAATTAATTACTAGGCAAGCCCAAGGCACTTGCTTGGGTAATTTAACAAATACTAGAAGGTACCATTTATTATTTGCCATGAGCCAGGCGCTGTGTTTGGCCCAAGATGATTCATTATTTTTGTTTTGCGTTTTAGCTTCTGTTTTTTGTTTTGTTTTGTTTTTTTGAGACAGGTTCTTGTGCTGTTGCCCAGGCTGGAGTACAGTGGTGCGATCACAGCTCACTGCAGCCTCAACACGCCAGCCTCCAGTGATCCTCCCACCTCAGCCTCCTGAGTAGTTGGGATTACAGGTGTGTGCACGCCACCATGCCCAGCTAATTTTTGTATTTTTTGTAGCGATGGGGTTTCGCCATGTTGCCCAGGCTGGTCTCTAACTCCTAGGCTCGAGTGATCGTCCCGCCTTGGCCTCCCAAAGAGCTGAGATGACAGGCGTGAGCCACTGAACCTGGCCTGAGATGATTAATCTTGTTGAACTCTTGCCCAGTGCTCAGATACTAGTTCTATTACTTTCCCATTTTACAGCTACAGAAACGGAGGCTAGGAGGGGTGAAATCACTTGCCCAAGGTCTTTGTGACTCCAGAGTGCACACTTTCAACCTCTAGGCTGCAGCCCTCCTTGAGGAGTTCCAGTTTAGATGGGACAGAAGCAATTTTCTACAAAATTTGGATGAGGCAGCGTGAGGAAGGGTGTGCTCCCCATCAAGGGAGTGGGTGGGACAGAAGGAAAACACAACGTGTCAGAGGGCTTCTCAGTCTTTGCAGGCGCAGAGCACTTTCGTCTAAACAAAATCTTGTGGAAATCGATAGAGGCAGAGTGTTCCAGGTTGAGCTAGGGTGGGGATCTCACCACCTCCCTCAGCTCAGACTCCCTCTCACCCCCTATATGCAGCTGAATTCCTGAGGTGTACAGGTAGCTGACAAAGCACTTTGCTATGGAGTCAAGGCCAGCTGGGGTGAACACAGCAGGTGAGGATACCTGGCAGGTTAAGGAGAGGATGGCCTTGAAGATTTAGAGAAGACCTGGATAGGAATTGAGAAATGCCGATGTCTAGATGGGGGGAAGAAGAGACATTCATTTATTCATTCAACAAACATTCACTATGCTCCTGCTACGCACCAGGCATTGGTCTAGGACCTCATGATGAAGTGGTAGACACAGAAAACAAAAGGAGACCGGTTTTTTGTACGCCTGTGTCCATCAGTCATTGACTTAGGCTGTCCTCAGTTGGGGAGGTGGGGGAGGTGTCATCATCTCCCAGGCAAGCCAGCTTCCCGACCTAAGGCAATTCCCAGCTGGGACATTGCCCTAGCCTAGCAAAGACACCACTGTTGTCCACTCCACTGCCCCTGAGTAGTTTTTGGCTCAGTGGGGGAGGCATGTGAGGGGACAGATGACGATAGCAAGGAAGGTGCATTGCTTGGATGGGGAAGCCCAGAAGGGGGTGCCAGACCCAGTGTGGGAAGTCGAGGAAACTTGGCCAGGAAGAGCTGGGGGCCTGAGTTCAAATCCCAGAATCACCACTTGCCCATTGTTGACCTTCAGCCAAAGACTTTGCTCTTAGAGCCTCTGTTTCCCTAACTCTAGAATGTGGCTGCCACCAGGGCCTTCCTTCTAGATGGTTGGGAGGATTTGTGTGCAAATCACATAGCCCAGTTCCTGCACGTAGTAACTACTGGGGCAATGAAGATGGTGGTGTGGGTGTATTGAGGCTGGATTGGATCACAGAAGGCCTGGGTTCCCAACGAAGTTAGGTTCCTTCCCACCAAACTCCAGAGGGACCCGGGAAGACCTGAGAGGTGAGTCAGAAATGGCTGCTGGAGGCAGGTTCCAAATATTACCGAAACTTGGGGTCATTCAGGAGGAGGCAAGGATGAGATGCATATAGGGAGGAGGATCTGGCTCAGGAGGAGCCTAGGGCTTAGCCAAGAGCTGGGGAGGGAGGGAAGCCTTGAAACTGGCTGAGAAGGGCACCCTCACATCCTCTCCCTGCACCTCACTCCCAGAGCCCCGAGCCCTAGCCTAGGTCGATCATCTCTTTCTCCACACCTCACACCCTCGTTCTGTCTCATTCAGCAAATATTTATTGATCGTCGGGCTCTGAGGATACACATATGAATAAGACAGAAGGGGCCCCTTTGCTTGGGGACCTCAAAGTTCATGATTGGGGTCATCAGATACCAAGGATGGGGAAGAAAGAGAGACATCACCCAGGGGTCAGGAGAGTGACAAGCATGTGTGTGTCCATTGAAATTTGGTTCCATGTGGTCATTGGAAGCCCAGAAGGAGCAGTTTCTGGGCATCCGTGGGGCAGAGGCCTGGTGGCAGAGTGAGCAGACACTCTGTTCTCCACCATAGCTTGGCCGAACCCCTCAAAGTGGCTAATTTGAAGGACATGATGTGTGTGAGGCTGTGTGGGGGGTGGCTGTGTGGACCTGAGGAGTAGGAGTGTGTGTGCATATGTGTGAGAGGTGTGTGTGTGAGGTTGTGTGCATATGTGTGAGGGTATGTGTGAGAGCGAATACATGTGAGGATTGTGGGTCATCTGTGTATGAGAGTTTGTGTGCATGTGACGGATTGTTGGGGAATGTGTGTGAGGTTGTGTGTGAAGGTGTGTGTATGTGAGGGCTGTGTGCATGCAAAGATCTGTTTAAGGGTATGTGTGAGAGGCTGTGTTGAGCATGTACATGTGAGGATGTGTGTGTATATAGTGTGTGAGGGTGTGTGCATGTGTGAAGGTGTGTGTGTGAGGGTTGTGTATGTGCAAACGTGTTAAAGGGTGTGTGAGAAGCTATGTTGAGAGTGTGCATGTGAGGGGTGTGTGTATATGGGCTATATGTAAGAGGGTGTGTGTGTGTGTGAGGGTTATGTGCCTGCAAGGATGTGTTTAAGGTTGTGTGTGAGAATGTGCACGTGAGGGGGTGTGTGAAGGTGTTTGTGTGAGAATTTGGGGGTGTCTGTGTGAGGATGTGTTTAATAGTGTCTATGGGTGTGGAAGGGTGTGTATGTCTGCATGTGTGTGAGAGGGTGTGGCTGTGTGAGATGTGTCAGAATGCATGTGAGAGGTGTGTGCATGTGTAACTGTGTGTGAGAGAGTGTAAATCTGTGAGTGTGATACACATCTATGTATGTTCATCACTTAGGATTCTTAGACTGACCTAGGAGAGTCTAGAAGCTCACCCCATCTACCCACCCTACATGTAGCACCCTACATTTGTGTATATGTAGAGTGTGTGTGTGTGTGTGTGTGTGTGTGTGAGGGTTCTGTGCATGCAAAGATGTGTTTAAGGGTGTATGTGAGAAGCTATGTTGAGAGTGTGCATGTGAGGGTGTATGTGTGTATGGAGTGTGTCGGTGTGTGTGAGGGTGTGTGTGTGTGTGCGTGGGAGGGTTCTGTGCATGCAAAGATGTGCTTAAGGGTGTATGTGAGAAGCTATGTTGAGAATGTGCATGTGAGGGTGTATGTGTGTGTATGGAGTGTGTCAGTGTGTGTGAGAGGGTTTGTGTGTATGGAGTGTGTCGGTTGTGTGAGGGTGTGTGTGTGAGGGTTATGTGCATGCAAAGATGTGTTTAGGGGTGTGTGTAAGAAGCTATGTTGAGAGTGTGCATGTGAGGGTGTGTGTGTGTGTATGGAGTGTGTCTGAGGGTGTGTGTGAGAAGATATGTTGAGGGGGTATGTGTGAGTGTTATGTACGTGAAAACGTGTTTAAGGGTGTGTGTGAGAAGTTATGTTGAGATTGTGCATGTGAAGGTGTATATGGAGTATGTGTGAGGATGTGTGTGTACATAAAGTGTATGTGAAGGGAGGTGTGTGTGTGAAGGTGTGTGTGTGAGGGCTGTGTGCATGCAAAGATGTGTTTAAAGGTGTGTGTGAGAGGCTATATTGAGGGTGTGCATGTGAAGGTGTGTGCGTGGATGGAGTGTGTGTAAGGGTGTGTGTGTAAAGTGTGTGTGTGAGGGTGTGTGTGAGAGAAGGTGTGTGTGTGTGTGAGGGTTCCGTGCATGCAAAGATGTGTTTAAGGGTGTGTGTGAGACACTATGTTGAGAGTGTGCATGTGAGGGGGTGTGTGTGTATGGAGTGTGTGTAAGGGGGTGTAAAGTGTGTGTGTGAGGGTTCTGTGCATGCAAAGATGTGTTTAAGGGTGAGTGTGAGAAGTGATGTTGAGAGTGTGCATGTGAGGGGGTGTGTATGTGTGAAGCATGTGTGAAGGTGTGTGTGTGAGGAGTTGGTATCTGTGTGAGGGTGTGTGTATTTAATGGTGTGTCTATGGGTGTGGAAGAGTGTGTATAATGAGTCTGCAAGTGTGTGAGAGAGGGTGTGGCTGTGTGAGATGTGTGAGAATCCGTGTGAGAGGTGTGTGCATGTGTAACTGTGTGAGAGAGTATAAATCTGTGAGTGTGATACATATCCATGTATTTTCATTACTTATGGATTCTTAGAGCTAGGAGAGTCTGGAAGCTCACCCCACCTTCTTCACCCCTCACGCCACCCACCCACCCCACGTGTAGCATCCTACAGCTTGCATTTTCCCATTCATCATTTCCTGAGACCCTCAGCAGCCATATGAAGATGGCTTCATCCCATTGACAGATGTAGAAACTGAGGCCCATGGGCTCAGAGGGAGATGGTGGCAGTGCCTCTGAGTCACAGAGAATTGGTCTTTGGCCAGGTAGCAGCTCCGACTGTTAGTTTCTCTATTTCTTCTAACTCGAGTGCTTATGTACAAAACAAGATGCTTATTCAAAGCCCCCTCACATTCATCGTATTCTTTCTTTCCTCCTTTGGTTCCATCACTTTCCAGTATTCTTTTTTCATCCTGTTCCTCCCCTGGGTTCCATTTCCCTTCCACTTCATTAGGAATAAATGAGACTGTAACTTTAACACATCCCCTGTCCCCCTCTGCCAAATGCATTTTAAAAATCACTTTTCAATTAAGAGGAAAATTATTATAAAAATGTTTAATCAAAGTAGAGTTCATCATTCAAGAAAGAAAACAGGAAAAAATGGGTTTGCAATGCTCACCATGACTCCTCCAGAACAATGAATCATAAAGAGACATTTAATACTTGCAAGAGGAAACAAAAGATCTCAAATAAAGACCAAATATTTTTATAGAGTCAAACCCAAACCAGAGAAAACAAATTCAGTCTTTGGGAAGCTGGTAGTGCTGTTGGCCAGTAATACCCACAGATTTGAGAAACCAGATGCATTTTTCTACTCCTTTTGCTCCTGCAATCTGAGCTTATGCCCCAAACCAACCTTCCTATTCATCACGGACACTACTATGCATATAGTTAATCCTCTAGGTGCCCATATGAGTATATAAGCGGTGACAATATTAAATTCTGATCTCGCCAAGTAAAAATCCCCCAGGCGCTGACTCATTCCTGACAAATAAGTTAGGTGTGAATAGTCTTGAGCCTTTGAGGAACTCTCGTGGCCATTAAAATCTGTGGCCTTTAGAGCATCTGAAAGATTTAGATCACTCCTTCTAACCCTTCACACACACACACACACACACACACACACACACACACACACACATCATCCAACCACCCATGCATCTATTCATGCATCCATCCATCCACCCATACATCCATTCTTGCACGCATGCCAACCATCCACCCACTCATGCATCCACCCATCCATCCATCCATCCATTTATGCATGAAACCACCCATCCATCTATGTATCTATCCTACCAACCAAACATCTATGCATCTATGCATCCATCCATGCATCCATCCATCCACCCATGCATGCATGCCAACCATCCATCCATGCATGCATCCATCTATCCATCCATCCAACCGTCTATTCATCCATCCAACCATTTATTCACCCATGCAACCATCTATCCACCCATCCATCCATCCAACCATTTATCTACCCATGCATCCATCCATCCATCCATCCATCCATCCATCCATCCATGCATCCATGAATTCATCCATGCATCCATCCATCCACCCATGCATGCATGTCAACCATCCATCTATCCTTGCATTCATCTATCCATCCATCCAACCATCCATCCATCCAGCTAACCCTCCATGCATGCCATTCATCCATCCATACATACATACATCTACCCATCCTATTAGTCATTTGTCTGTCCATCCATCCACCTAGTTATTCATCTGTCTGTCCATCCACCTGTTCATCTACTCATCCATACATTTATCAATAGCTTATCAGACATCACTCATCTATCTACCTTTAATTTATCCATTTATTAGTTTATCTGTCCATCCATCCATCCATCTGTCTGTAACTGGGGTCCCCAAGAGCATTCCCAAGTTTGTTGATTCTCTGAGAGGACTCAGGACTCAGTATACAGTTGCACTCATGAATTTATTCCAGTGCAAGATACAAAGCAAAATCTGCAAAGAGAAAAGATGCATGAGGTAAAGTCCAGAGAAACCAAGAGCAAGCTTCCAACAATCCTCTCCAAGTGGAGTCAGACAGAACACACTTAATTCCTGGAGCAACAAGTTGTGACAACACGTGTGAAATGTTTTCTGCCAGCGAAGCTCATTAGAGACTCTGTGCCTAAGGTTTTTACGGGGGTGGGCCATGTAGGCACACTCTGCCTAAAATAAACCAAAATTCCAGACTCTCAGAAGAAAAATGGACATTTAACATAAACCATAGTGAGCTACTCTTATCAATTCTAGGAACTTTGGAAACCCTCCCAAAATCCAATTTCCCAGTTGTGAGCCAAGGGTGAGCCTTGCAAGGAGGGCTCTCAGGAGAGTTGTCTCAGACCTGCTGTATTAAAGCTTTCCTTCACTCCATCCAACTGTCCTTTTATCCATCTGTCCACCCACTCATGCATTGATCCACCACCCGTTCATGTATCCATCCATCCGTTGTTCTGTCCATCTGTCTATCCACCTATCCATCTTTCCATCTACTCGTTTATTTCACCCAACATGCATTAAACATTTACTCTCATCCTGTCTTACTGGGCTCGAGACTGCAGAAACGGATGAGACATTCCCCACCCACTCTCATCAAGTCACTCACATTCTGAGTGCCTTTAAAAAGAGCATCTCATTCCATCTCCTCCTCCATAGAGGAAGTAAGACATGTGGAGAGAAGGGCCCTCCTGGGGCACATGTCTCTGGGATGAACCAACGGTCAATGCAGAGCTGCAGGCCCTCAGTGAGCCCAGTGTGGTCTGAGCTGAGCACAACTCAGCCATGGGCCCCCTTCACTCTGAGCAGCCGTGCCCCTCACCTGTGTCCTCCCTCTTTTTCCTATGGTGCTGCAAGGTAACTATTCCAGCTTCTCTACTGGGACCTCAGCTGCCACCACGGCAGCCTTAGAGAGTCTGTGTGAGCTGAACCCAGTTGAGAGAAGAGGCTGGGAGGAAAATTTATAGCAACTGTATGTGCCTGAGTTAGCTCTGGAGAAAAGACAGACAGTGAAGGCAATAGAGTTACTCTTCTCTCTCTCTATCTTTCCCTCATTTGCCAGCTCTCTGAGCATCTCTCCAACTCTGCCTCATCACTGTCACTCTAGCAATAATAATGGCAGCCCCTCAGGTCACTGTCACTTCCACCTTCCACATCCCTGACCTCACTGATCCTGCCGCCTGCTCCATGAAGTGAGCAGGGCTAGAATGATCCTTTGTCCTATTCAACATAGCAGAGCTAGAGGCTCAGAGAGGCTAGGTGTCTTGTCCAAGGACATACAGAGCTGGGCCCTACCCTTAAGTCTCTGTATTCCCTAATCCAGAATGTTCTTTCCCACAACATGATGGAGGCTCCCAAAACTCATTCCCAGGCATTTCTCTACTTTGAATAACACATTTACCTTGATTTTTCTTCTATTCTCATGATCAGGCTGTAAGATGCAGAGACAGGAACATCAGGAGAGGGGGTTTATGCCAGCACATGTGACATCTCTTTCTGCAGTCTCTCGAAGAGGCAATCATGCTCATATTAATAGTGGTTATCATTTAGCAGACACTGATCAATGTTGTAGGTGCTAGTTTGAGCACTCAGCACACCCCATCCTTAACTGTAGGTGAAAGTACCACACAGACGACTCGAAGGATGTTATATCTACCCGTTTGACTGAAGCAGAGGATCTGTCCACCAACCCAGCAGGATACAGAGGCCAGGTGAAGCATGTGAAGCATTTACTCCAAATGGGTGACAATTTGAACAGTAAATGTAATCTGCAAAGTGGCAAGCGGGTCAGCATCTTCCAAACATGGGATGCTTTAAAAAAATTTTTTTAAATTTTATTTTATTATTATTATACTTTAAGTTTTAGGGTACATGTGCACAATGTGCAGGTTAGTTACATATGTATACATGTGCCATGCTGGTGTGCTGCACCCATTAACTCGTCATTTAGCCTTAGATATGTCTCCTAATGCTATCCCTCCCCGCTCCCCCCACCCCACAACAGTCCCCAGAGTGTGATGTTCCCCTTCCTGTGTCCATGTGTTCTCATTGTTCAATTCCCACCTATGAGTGAGAATATGCAGTGTTTGGTTTCTTGTCCTTGCGATAGTTTACTGAGAGTGATGATTTCCAATTTCATCCATATCCCTACAAAGGACATGAACTCATCATTTTTTATGGCTGCATAGTATTCCATGGTGTATATGTGCCACATTTTCTTAATCCAGTCTATCATTGATGGACATTTGGGTTGGTTCCAAGTCTTTGCTATTGTGAATAGTGCCGCAATAAACATACGTGTGCATGTGTCTTTATAGCAGCATGATTTATAGTCCTTTGGGTATATACCCAGTAATGGGATGGCTGGGTCAAATGGTATTTCTAGTTCTAGATCCCTGAGGAATCGCCACACTGACTTCCACAATGGTTGAACTAGTTTACAGTCCCACCAACAGTGTAAAAGTGTTCCTATTTCTCCACATCCTCTCCAGCACCTGTTGTTTCCTGACTTTTTAATGATTGCCATTCTAACTGATGTGAGATGGTATCTCATTGTGGTTTTGATTTGCATTTCTTTGATGGCCAGTGATGATAAACATTTTTAATTTTTTTTTTGAGACAGGGCCTTGCTCTGTCACCCAGGCTGGAGTGCAATGGCATGATCATGGCTCACTGCAGCCTCAATCTCCCTGGGCTCAGGTGATCCTCCCACCTCAGCCTCCCCAGTGGCTGGGACTATAGGCATGCTCCACAATGCCTGGTAATTTTTTAAATTTTTTTGTACAGACATGGATTCCCCATGTCTCCCAGGCTGGCCTTAAACTGCTGGGCTCAATCTACATACCTCAGCTTCCCAAAGGGCTGGGATTATAGGCTTGAGCTACCATGTGACCTCTGGCCATTTTGTTTTGTTTTGTTTGTTCGTTTTTTAACGGAGACAGCGTCTTGCTTGGTCACCCAGCCTGGAGTGCAGTGGCATGATCACAGCTTACTGCAACCTCAACCTCCTGGCCTCAAGCCATCCTCCTGCCTCAGCCTCCCAAGTAGCTGGGACTACAGGCACGCATCACCATGCCCGGCTAACATGGGATGCTTTTAAAGGGTACCTATTCTCACAGACACCTCCCCTTTGCCAATGTCACCATAAAATATTTCTATTATGATGTTTTTTAAATGTATGTTGGCATAAAAGCAGATATAAGTTCTTCACTTATATCTTATCTACTGCTATAAAACCAAAACAAATCTGCAAATTAAATATGATTCCAATTACAAAACCAATAAAATTCAAATTAAAAACATGTCTGTGGTGGGCACAGTGATGTCTTGCCGAGACAAAACTGCCACTCACAATCTGAATAGTGGACACACTCCCCAGACAGTTCTTTTTTCAAGAGCTTAATCAGCACATATCATTTTTAAAATGTATTTATTCCAGAGAGTTCTTTTGATTTTCCCCTGCCTCTGTGAGGACCTCTGTGATTTTCCACTTTCCCCTTCTCAGACTTCTGTGAACCTTCTGTTCATACAGCATGGCATTCCATTCTTGAGCCTTTACCAGGCACAAAGAAGGGCATTTCTGTATCATGTCCATGATATTTTCTTGTCATTGCGCAGTAATTAAAGTGAGACAGTTCAGCACAGTTGTCATCACAAACACAAGTGCGGAACAGACACCAGAATCATGTGGCAGTGCATGATGATTAGATAGTGATCAGTTAATTCAGAAAAGGATGATGGTAATATCCTATAACTTAAAGCAATTACAACGTGATCATAGTGTATTGTGGACCCCCAGGGGACCCCAATTTGAGAAACTCATGTTCAGACACATCTCGCATTCATGGGGAGCATGGATTAGAATTGGGGAGCTGAATTAAGAGGCTATGATGTTATTTAGGCCTGATAGCAGGAGGGCTTCAATGGCTAAAATGGGAAGGAAGGGCCAGGTGTGGTGGCTTACGCCTGTAATCCCAGCACTTTGGGAGGCCGAGGCAGGAGGATCACTTGAATCCAGGAGTTAGAGACCAGGCTGGGCAACATGGCGAAACCCTGTCTTTACAAAAAAATAAAAATAAAAATTAGCCAGGTGTGGTGGCATGCTCCTGGAGTCCCAGCTATTCAGGAGGCTGAGGTGGGAGGATTGCTTAAGCCCCAGGAGGTCAAGGCTGCAGTGAGCCGTGATCATGCCACCACACTCCAGCCTGGGTGACAGAGTGAGAACCCATCTAAAAAAAAAATTGGAAGGAAGAATCTGAGCCATATGTTGTGTTAAAGGAAGACTAGGCAGGATTTGAGCTTTGATGGTGATGCCCAGAGAACTGGCACGAGGTTCCTTGAGCCTCCCAGGCCCTGGAGGTACCATCAGGGATAAGGAAGGAAATCAGTAGCAGTGAAGCAAGGGAGAAATCTCACCTGCTTTTCCTAAGCATATTGAGATCCTGGGCTTGGCTTCACTTTACTCGTTCTGAGCCTTAGTTTTTTCATTGGTTAAATGAGAACAAGACCTTCCCTGCGCTTGGCAGAATGGACGAGTGAGTAAGGGCACAAGCTGGGGAATCAGGCAGCCCATGGCCTGAATTCTAGCTCTACGACTTGCTAGCTAGGAGACCCGAGAGTAGACCCGGGACATATCTGGGGCTGTGTTTCCTAGGCTGTAAAAGAGAAATAGCATTCACACCTTTGTACAGTTATTGTCAAAAGTGAATGTGATCATGTTTGCAAGGGGCTTAGTCAGCGTCTGAAACTTTGTGACCCACTCGGTAAATAATAACTGCTGTGTTACTGTTACCATCAACCTCATTCATATCATCAGTGATGACGTGTTACCATCATCATCATTCCCTCACCAGCTTTCTCTATCTCTCCATCATTCTGGGTCCTAGCTTCCCTCAACATGTGAATCCTGCTTCTCTGCCTATGAAGACTTTGTCCGGTGCCTTTACCTCATAGCTATTCTCCTTTTTCTAATGCAGGTTCTCAACCTGTTTTATGCCATAGACTCTTTGATAGTCTGGTGAAACCTACAGACTCTTCTCAGAATAAGGTTTTTATTTCTTTATTTTTCTCTTCCAACTTCTTTTTCTTTTTCCCGCCCAAATGTCCAACAATGATAGACTGGATTAAGAAAATGTGGCACATATACACCATGGAATACTATGCAGCCATAAAAAAGGATGAGTTCATGTTCTTTGTAGGGACATGGATGAAATCCAACTTCTTTTTTAGGTTCAGAGGGTACATGTGCAAGTTTGTTACACAGGAAAATTGTGTGTCACTGGGGTTTGGTGTACATGTGATTTTGTCACCAAGTAGTGAACATAAGTACTCGATAGGTAGTTTTTCGAACCTCACCCTCCTCCCACCCTTCACCCTCAAGTAAGTCTTGGTGTCTATTGTTCCCCTCTTTGTGTCCATGTGTACTCAATATTTAGCACCCACTTATAAGTGAGAACATGTGGTATTTGGTTTTCTGTTTCTGCATTAATTCGCTTAGGATAATGGTCTCCAGCTGCATCCATGTTGCTGCAAAGAAGGTGATTTCATTCTTTGTTATGCCTGTGTAGTATTCCATGATTTATATGTACCACATTTTTTCTTTTCTTTTCCTTTTTTTTTTTTTTTTTTTTTTTTTGGGGAGACAAGGTCTCATTCTGTTGCCCAGGCTGGAGTACAATGGAGCAGCTCAGCTCAATGCAACCTCTGCCTCCTGGGCTCAAGCAATCCTCCTGCCTCTGTATCCTGAGTAGCTGGAACCAGAGGTCCTTGAGCCACCATGCCCAGCTAATTTTTGTGTTTTTTGGAGAGATGGGGTTTCACCATGTTGTCTAGTCTGGTCTCAAACTGAGCTCAAGTGATCCTCCTGCCTTGGCCTCTCAAAGTGCTGGGATTACAGGCATGAGCCACTGCTCCCGGCCCAAACCATATTTTCTTTATCCAGTCCACTGCTGGGCATCTAGGTTGATTCCATAACTTTGCTACTTTGAAAACAAATAATGTTTTTAAATGCGTAAAATATAACACATAGTATTGCAAAGGAAGTAATTATACTGAAATATAGTTACCAAATTTTTTGTTTTTGTTTTTGTTTGAGACAGAGTCTTGCTCTGTCACCCAGGCTGAAGTGCAGTGGTGCAACCTCGACTCACTGCAACCTCCGCCTCCCGGGTTTAGGTGATTCTTCTGCCTCAGCCTCCCGAGTAGCTGGGACTACAGGTGCCCACTACCACGCCCGGCTAATTTTTGTATTTTTAGTAGAGACAGGGTTTTACCATGTTAACCAGGCTGCTCTCAAACTTCTGACCTCAGATGATCCACCCACCTTGGCCTCCCAAAGTGCTGGGATTACAGGCGTGAGCCACCGCGCCCAGCCAACATGTGTGTTTCTTTATTAACGCATTAACAAACGAGCTAGCTGTGAGTCTAACAGATTCTATAATTTTGAAGTAGTAATGAACATAAACATTTCAAGATATTTGTAACAAGTGTAAGGTGATATGAAAATGCTTATGATTTCTTTTGGTGGTAAAGTCACAGGTACGATCATACTACTGTGGCTATTGATCTATATTCATAATGAAAGCTAGTGCTACATTTCAGTTAGAGGTTAATGTAAAACAAAGATGTAATTTTTTCCCATCCAGGTTCACAGCTTCTCTGAATTGTATCCACAGACCCCTTGCTACAAATCAAATAGTGCTGTCTGCCTCATGCTACCGATTCCATTTAGTTAAGACTTATTTCTATTTGAACATTCAGAATTATTTTTATCTACCAACATGCACATGGTGAAAAAAAGAATCAAATGAGAGAGAACCCCGTACAACAGGAAACAGTTCTCCCCCCCACTTCTTCCTACTTTTATTCTGCTTCCCAGGGGCTACCATTCTTAAGTTTTCTGGGTGTTTCTTCTGTGGTTATCTCCAAATCTCTAAGCACCATGCTAAAACATGGTCTTTATCGATTTACAGACCTTAGACCTCATCTATTGATATTTCTTGCCCTGTCCTCCCAAAATAGGTTTATCACTATTTTTAGTTCTACTTTGGTTACCTTGGCAACTCTAACAAATGTCTTTATGATTTCATTTTTTATTTCATCCACTACAGGTGTTATATTTTGACTCCACACTATTTCAGATGAGATGTTGGTGCTTCAACTTCCTTTGTTCTTCCCCTTTCTCTGCATTTCAAAATATTGACAACAGGCTGGGTGCAGTGGCTCACAGCTGAAATCTCAGCACTTTGGGAGGCCAAGGCAGGAGGATTGCTTGAGGTCAGACATTCGAGACCAGCCTGGGCAATGTGGCACAATCCCATCTCTACAAAAAATATAAAAAAAAAATTTTGCCGGGCATAGTGGCGTATGCCTGTAGTCCTAGCTATTCAGGAGGCTGAGTCGGGAGGATCACTTGAGCCTGGGAGGTGGAGGTTGCAGTGAGATGAGATTGTGCCACTGAACTCCAGCCTGAGTGACAGAGCCAGACCCTATATCAAAAAAAAATGTTGACAACTTTCTTTTGATGCATAGGTCCTGTATACTTAATATAACTATAAGCTCCTGGAAAGCAGGGACCTGGTTTGATTTCTCTTATATCTCAAGTGGATCTAATGGCACATAGTAGGTGTGCAGTAAATCTGTGTCCCATGCTCTGCCCCTTGGCTGTAGTATGTGCCCCCTAACCTGGCTGCTGATCTGGAAAATGAGCCCCCAGCCACCACTATAGCCAGGAGAAGGAGTGGAGCTGATACGATGCATGCAAGCCCATCCCCAATGACTGGCCAAAGCATAGTCATGGGGGCTATTATTGCCCGCAGTTACGCACTATAGAAATTCTCCTGGCCTTGGGGGTCTGATTTCCCCTTAGATCTTCAAGGAAGCTTCTTCAGGGAGAATATTAATGACTGTCTGAATCATTAGCTTCCCTCCCACCAGCATCACTAGATTTTCAACCAGCCATAAAATGGTCCTGGAAAAGGAGACAGCAAGACCAGATGTCAGAAAGAAGAAGGCTTCTGCTATCATTCCCGAGTCTGATGACTTGTTTCCCGGGTCATTCTCTTCATAAAGAGAATCTATTTCCTACAAGAGAAATCTCCTGTGTGAGAGTTCTTTCTAAAGCCTGCTGCCTTCACTCAAGCCTCTGATATCAACCCAAGCCTCCCCAGTCCCCTTGGGATAAAGTCCAAGTTCAAACTCAACCCAAGGCCCATTGTGACCAAGCCCTGGTCTCTAGCCAACCCTATTCCTTCCAGCTTCACCTCCCATAATCAAGCCAAATATAACCACTTGCAATTTCCCCAGATCAGTAGACATCCTCTTGCCCTTGCTGTTCTTCCACATGGAAAGCTCTCCTCCCCAGCAGCATCCTCTACTTGTCTTCCCTACCTTGGCATAGACAGCACCTCTGCCGGTCTTCCCTGAGGCCTTCTAGGTCCTATGTCCTCCCACAGCCTCTTGAACTCATCCCTATCATAATTTACATCATTGAATTGAGATGATCTATTTACTCAATGGTCTCCCCCTCTAGAGTATAAATTCCTTGAAGGTGAAATTCATATGATATTCGGCATTAGGTCACAACAATGCCTAACAGTGCCTGGAAGCTAGAAAGTGTTCAATAAAGATGTTTGTGATGAGTGTATGAGTGGATAAATGTATGAATAGATGGTGGATGGGGATGGTTGTTTGAATGCATGGATAGATAGATGAGTGGATGAGGGGATGGTTGCATAAACAACTGGAAGGCTGGGATGGATACACAAATGGGTGAAAAGGTTACTGGTTGGGAAGATGGAAGGCACATGACCTTTGGTCCCTGATAAAGTGGACAAGTGCCATCAAAACACACATCGTGGAGTAATAGTTGGCCCTATTGCATGTAGCCCTGAGGTTAAGTTCATACCCTAACTTTCCCCGCTCTCCCAGTAACCCATGGAGGATCTTTCACTCAAAAGTGTCTCTGGGCTGGGCACAGTGGCTCATGCCTATAATCCCAGCATTTTGGGAGACCTAGGAGAGTAGATCACTTGAGCCCAGGAGTTCAAGACCAGCCTGGGCAACAAGGGCTCGACATCTTGTCTCTACAAAATATACAAAACTTAGCCAGGTATGGTGGCATGCGTCTATAGTCCCAGCTACTCAGGGGGCTGAGGCTGGAGGATTGTTTGAGCCCAGAGGTTGAGGTTGTAAAGAGCTATGATCGTGCCACCGCACTCCAGCCTGGGTGACTGAGCAAGACACTGTCTAAAAAAAAAAAAAAGAAAAAAAAAAGTCTCTGAAACTTCCTGGAACTTGTACTTTTTTGGAGCAGATTTGGAGCTCTGAATGTTACATGTATATTATCAATTGTGTAAGCGGGACTTTTTTGAATTTCTTATTCAGCAACAAACATTTCCTAAGGATATATTATGCTCCAGCAACTATGGCAGGTGCTAGAGATATGGAAATGAAAAATCACTCCCTTCCGGGAGCTTAGGGTCTGGGGGAAGTGGTGGATGTAAATGTGCACTCAGCTAATAATAACACAATGACAATAGCTGAGATCACTGCTGCCATTTATTAAGTTCTAACTAATAGGAGAATAGGACGTAGATGGAGAATGAAGAGAGGATGCCCCTGATACAGAGTACAAGAGAAAAATATCATACCCTATCTTGTGAGGTAGGTCCTATTAGCTTCATTTCATAAGTGTAGAAAGTGAGGCTCAGAGGGGTTAAGTGAATAATTCAAGGTCACATAGCTGATAAGTGGCAGAGCCAGAACTCCACCTGCCTCCAAGACCCAGGTTTTTAACCACTCCATGGCCTCTGACATAGCACACAGCCAGACCATGAGAGAGGAAGCAAGATGGGTATAAGCCACGTACCAGAGGAACATGGAAGAGAGAGAAATGGACTCTTCTTCAAGGAAAGGTGGAGACTTTACCCAGGAGGGGGTATCAGAGTTTGGGTGGGACATTCTGTGTACTTGAGAGTAGATACTCATAGATTTAAAGAGGGATTGTCTCATGGTCTCTGAAACTTCAAAGCCTGGTCTCCTGAGGGCTCTGACAGAAGACAGGGTATGCATTTCCTGGCTAGATCACCTCACTCCATTCCCCAGAGGCTGCATGGCACCAAGGACAGGACCCAGCTTGGGATCACATAGACACAAGCTGAAATCCCAGCCCTGTACCAGCTGTAGGGTAAGTGATAGAGCTCAGTGTCTGTCTCCTAATTTGAACTCTCCAAGCCTCAGTTTCCTCATCTAGAAAATGGGAGCAATGATGCCTACATTGTCTGATTGTTGTTAGTATGGGGATAGTGTATGTCAGCCTGCCACTTAGGAGGGTCAGTAAAGAGTGGGTCCCTTCTCCTGGCTCCTGGACATAAGCAGTCTGCTCACATCATCCTCACAAGCTGATCCTTTTGTGGATGGAGAATCCCTTTGAGTATCTGGTAACAGTGAAAGCCTTTCTCTGCAGAAAAACACACATATACCCTGAATTGTTTCTCGCATCTTGCAGAGGAGGTTTGCAGACCTCTGCGGGCCCAGGGTCAGACCTCCTGGTCTTAGGGCTAAAATTGGAATCATGCAGTTGTTCGTACTAACATTTGAGTGATCTTGGATTTTGGAAACCAAGGGCAACATGGATGCTCTGGTTTGAAAGCCTCTCTATGGACAAGCAAGAAAATGCTCTAAATTATCTGTGAATTGATTTAAAAAAAAAAAACCATCACCATTGCATGGACATTTCCTGTGTTTCTGGTACTATGCTAAGCCATCTCTATATATTAGCATTTTTCCCATCCCTTCGATTTTTCAAAAAGTTTATTGTATATATTTGAAATGTACAGCCAGACTCAGTAGCTCAAACCTGTAATCCCAGCACCTTGGGAGGCCGAGGCAAGAGGATTGCTTGAGCCAAAGAGTTCAAGACCAACCTGGGCAACATGGTGAGACCCCATCTCTACAAAAGTAAAAATTTAGCCGGGCATGGTGGCGTGCATCTGTATTCCCAGCTACTTGGGAGGCTAAGGTGGGAGGATCCCTTGAGTCCAAGAGGTCAAGGCTGTAGTGAGCTGTGATCGCACCATTGTACTCCAGCCTGGGCAACAGAGTGAGACCCTGTCTCAATAATAATAATAATAATAATAATAATAATAAAGTGTATAGCATGATGTTTTGATATATAGAGAGAGACTGAAATAATTATGATAGTCAAGCAGATAAACACATCCATCAACTCACACAGTTACCCTTTTTATTCCTGTGGCAAGAACACCTAAAGTGTATTCTTTTAGCAAAAATCCCAAATACAATACAATACACCATAATCAGCATGTTGTTCATTAGATCTCTAGACTTCATTCCACATATCTATCCCTTTGTATCCTTTGACCTACATCTCCCTACTTCCTACCCCTTTCACCCCTGGTAATCACTGTTTTTAACTCTATCTCTGTGTATTCTACTTTCTTTTAGATTTCACATATAAATGAGATCATGGGGTATCTGCCCTTCTGTGCCTGGCTTATTTCACTCACCATAACGTCCTCTAGGTTCAACTGCATTAGTATCTTTGAAAAGATGAGGCAATCCCCCCTATAATCCCCATTTTACAGATGAAGACCCTGAGGCTCAGAGAGGTGAAGTTACTCTCAGGGTCATTCCGTAAGTGGCACAGCCAGGATTTGAACCTGGGTCCATTTAATTCTAGAAGTCATGGTCTTAACGTGAGGGGATTCTACTTAGGGCCAGTTGTCACTCACACCCAGAGGTAAACGTAGTAAGATGGCTCATGGGGCTAGATCAGAAGCCATTGGATATGGTAGGACTCCCCAGTGAGATCTTGTTATGGGGACAGAATTCAACCCATAACAAGAGGGGACTTCACAGCAATTCAGGAATGTATAAGAATGGCCTTAGAATCTGTCATCCCTTCCTTAAGTGGTCAAGAGCTAGATAAGGAGATAAGGAGAAAGGAGGATTGGAGAGGGGAGAGAATGTGATTATAAATGAATGTACAGTCTGGGCATGGTGGCTCACACTTGTAATCCCAGCACTTTGGGAAACCAAGGTGTATTAAGCCATTCTCACGCGCTATAAAGAACTGACGGAGACTGGGTAATTTATAAAGGAAAGAGGTTTAATTGACTCACAGTTCTGCATGGCTGGAGATGCCTCAGGAAACTTACAATCATGGCAGAAGGGCAAGCAAACACGTCCTTCTTCACAGGGCAGCAGGAAGAAGAAGTGCCGAGCAAAGGGGGAAAACCCGCTTATAAAACCATCAGAACTCATGAGAACTCACTCACTATCATGAGAACAGCAGCATGGGGGTAACTGCCCCCATGATTCAATTTCCTCCCACGTGGTCCCTCCCACGACACATGGGGATTATGGGAATTACAATTCAAAATGAGATTTGGGTGGGGACACAGCCATACCATATCACAAGGCAAGTGGATTGCTTAAATTCAGGAGTTCAAGACCAGCCTGGGCAACAGGGCAAAACCCTGTCTCTACAAAAAAAATTTAAAAATTAGCCAAGCATGGAGACACATGCTTGTGGTCCCAGCTACTCGGGGGGCTGAGGCGGGAGGATGGCTTGAGCCTGGGAGGTGGAGGTTGCAGTGAACTGGGGTCATGCCACTGCACTCCAGCCTGGGCAACAGGGTGAGACCCCATCTCAACAAATAAATAAATAAATAAAATTTTAAAATTAAAATTAAAAAAATAAGTGAACATACAGAAAATAAGTAAAACACACAGAACATAAGTAAAACACACAAGGCTCGTCACTAGAACTCTGCTGTGGTTCCTCTCCCCCTCCTTCCTCTTCTCCTCTCCCTCCTCCCCTTTCTCTCCTTCCCTCTCCCCCTCCTCTCCCTCCTCCCCTTTCTCTCCTTCCCTTTCCCCCTCCTCTCCCTCCTCCCCTTCCTCCTTCCTCTCTACCTTCCCTCTCTTCAAATAAGTGGAGCATGAAGTACTTGGGCATTTTGAGGCTGATTCCTTTATATGAAAGACAATATATAATATATATATGGCCACTGCCCCTGCCACAGACCAGGGAGTTGAATAACCAGGGACAGGTGGGCAAAAGGAAGCTGTTGGAAGTTTTGGGGGAAAAAAAAAACAAAAACACAACGGTGTTCAATTTATTTTACCTTTTTCAATGGGAGAATTTTAAACCTCCTTTTTTGCCTACTGTAGGTTCCGCAGAGCAGTAGCTCTTAAATTTTGGCATGCATCAGATTCACCCGGAGGCCTAGTTTTTTTTTAAAAAAAATAAGGAGCTTTCTGATCCCCACTTCCAGAGATTCTAATCAGGATGGGCTACATAATTTTCAGGGCCCCATGCAAAATGAAAATTAGTTCAAAAACTAATAAGAATTTCAGGACAGCAACAGCAGCTGCACAGGTCACAGGCTCGTGATTCTGATTCAGAAGATCTGGGTGGGGCCTTGGAATCTGCATTTCACCAGGTCCTTGGGTGATTGTGATGCAGGGGGCTGCAGACCATCCTTGGCAGATGGTCTGGCACAGAAGGTGAGCTGGGAAGTTTCCAAGAGGTTTCTGGGTAAGTGGGTTTGAGCTGTAGCTTCCTGACCACCCTCCCTCCCCACTAATCTCTTAAAAGTAGTTCTGAAAACTGTGGCCAGAAAGAAAGATGTAAGAGCTACTTTCAGAGTTGGACATGGCCATGCTGTGGAAGAGGGTCCCTTCTTCTTCATATCCTGGAGGCAGCTGGGGGAAGGGTGATACCTGAAGCCCAGCCTCTGCCTCTCCCACCTCTGGAGAGGGATGTGGCAGAGTCCAAAGGACAAATGTGTGTGCCCTGAACTCTCAGTCCTTCACCAACTGCAAGTCCTAAACCAATTTGTGATTTGGCCTAGGTCCACCACAGAGGGATATCAGGAAGGTCAGCTTGACTTTTCTGTGTAATTTTCCCACGTGGGAAGATGGACAACAACTGGTGTCCCCTGTGAAATCAAGTCAAGCAGGCATCACAGGTGGCAGGTGGCATTGTAGCCACCATTTTTAGAGAGACCCTGCACCAGGACACTCCAAGGAGGAAAGAGTGCCCTGGAATTTCAAGAAGATCCATACCTAAGATTGGGTCTGAAAATCGCCAGTCCTCTTTCTGAAGCCTATGGTTGCCATCAGATCTCTCCTGGTGCCTGGCGCATGGAGGGCGTGGGCAACTAACATGAAAGAATAAAGCAAAAGGAGGCCGGTGGACAAGGGGTGCTTCCTTACGGTCCTTATCTCCCAGTGCTCAAATTAGCCAGCAGTGGTCCAGCCTAATGCCAGAAAATGAAGAAGGGATTTTCTCAGGTTTGTTGTGGGGGGCGGCGGGGGAGGTTGAGCAGTGACCAGTCTCTGCATCCTGACTGCTGATGCTGATGCTGGAGGTGTGCAAACCTTTGACACCCGCCCCAGGTAGCAAGGAATGTTGTGTCTCCCAATCACCACCCTAGCCTTAAGCCCTGACTCCAGAACCACCTGCTCAACATGCAGCTGGACCCTCAGGGGGGCAGTCCGGCTCTTCTTGGCCTGGTCTTGGACCGCAGAAAAGTTCAAAGTTGGAAACCAAGTCATTCCAAGGTCCCAGGCTCTACTATCCAGGAGCCTGCAGCCCTGTCAGTGATATTTGATTCTGTAGGAAACTGCCAGGACATGAGATGATGTAATCAGCACTGAGGGGTGGGGAGTAGAGAGGGAAGGCTGGTGTGACCTGGACCCACTACTGTTGGGGTCTCCTGGTGATGCTGGGGGTCACCTGAGGCTGTCACCAAGTCAGTAGGCTTCAGAATTGAGTTGGAAGTTTTTTGTTTTTTGTTTTTGAGATGGAGTTTTGCTCTCGTTGCCCAGGCTGGAGTGCAACGGCGCGATCTCAGCTCACCACAACCTCTGCCTCCCGGGTTCAAGCGATTCTTCTGCCTCAGCCTCCCAAGTAGCTGGGATTACAGGCATGCACCACCACGCCTGGCTAATTTTGTATTTTTAGTAGAGACAGGGTTTTTCCATGTTGGTCAGGCTGGTCTTGAACTCCCGACCTCAGGTGATCCGCTACCCTTGGCCTCCCAAAATGCTGGGATTATAGGCGTGAGCCACCGCACCCGGCCGAGTTGGAAGTTTTTAATTCTATTTCCTAGCCCCACCTCCTGCTAAGAGAGGCTGTAAATGGGTTGAACAGTGTCCTCAAAATAGATGCATCTAATGCCTGGCGCCTGTGAATATGACCTTATTTGAAAATAGGGTCTTCGCAGATGTGATTAAGTCAGGGATTTGGGATGAGATTATCTGGACTAAGGGTAGCCCCTAAATCCCATGACTGGTATCCTTATGAGAAAGGAGAAGAAAATTTAGGACACAGAGAAGAACGGAATGTGAATATGAAATCAGAGATTGAACTGATGCATTTACAAGCCAAGGAACTCCAAGGCTTGCTGGCAACCACCAGAAGCTAGGAGAGGCATGGGATGGATTCTCCCGTGAGCCTTTGCGGGGAGCCTGGCCCTGCCAACACGTTGGTTGAGGACTTCTGGCCTCCAAACTCTTAGAGAATAAGTGTCTGTTGTTTTAAGCCACAAAGTTTGTGGCAATGTGTTGGGACAGTCCTGGGAAACTAAGTCAGAAGTCACGGACATGGGCCTGCCTGGCTGGTCTGGGACATAGTAAGTTCTCAATAAATGTGTGTTGATTTTAGGGAGTTCCTTTTCATTACACAGACTTTTAAAGAAGATTACAAGGTGTTGTTTTGTTTTGTTTTGTTTTGTTTGTTTTTGTTTTTGTTTCGACAGGGTCTCTCTGTGTTGCCCAGGCTGGAGTGTGGGCTCGCTGCAGCCTACCAGGGATCTTAAGATCAGAATAATTGGCATTCCTCAGACACATAGGGCATAGGACTGCATTTGAAAAAGGGGGCTTTGTTGCTACATTTGAAAAGCACTTAGCTGGTGCCTTGCTCCTGAAGCAGGAGCCATAGACTCACAGCATCGGCATCACCTGGGAATTGGCTAGAAACACAGAGCTCAGGCCCTGCCCCAGACTCACTGAGTCAGACTCTGCCTGTGAGCAAGACCCCCACGTGGCCGGTGTGTACATCACTGTTGGAGAACACCCCAGTTCAAATCGTGGCCATGGAGGAACCTGCTGTGTGGCCTTGGGCAAAACGCTTAAGCTCTCTGAGCCCTGGTTTCCCCAACCACAATCTAGATCTAGAGCTATCATCCCCCTCAGCTGAGACAAGAGCTATCCCCATGGTGGACCGTCGGGTGATGTTGAACCCCAGATCGAGGCTATACCTTGGTAACAAGAACAAGACCCTCCTTTCAGTAAGAAACCAAGCGGCAGTTGGGGGTAGGGAGAGGCAGTAAAATGCTGGAGGCCGTGAGCCAGGAAGAGGAGGAGGAAGGAGGGGCCGCTGGGTCACTGGGACCTAAGAGAATGGGCTTGCAGCAGCATTTCTAGGATTTAGGGGGCAGGGATAGGCGAGATGGAAAGGATTGAACTAAACTACCCAAGCTCACCCAGCTTCACTTTCCTGGACTCATGCCCAGGAGTTTAATTTTTTACTTAGTCATTCACTAAATATTAGTTGAATGCCTACTATGTGCCATGGCCCATGATGATGAATATCTTTGTATGGCTTCTTTTTTTTAATTTAATTTTATTTTTTTGAGACGGAGTCTCGGTCTGTCGCCAGGCTGGAGTGCAGTGGCGCGATCTCGGCTCACTGCAACCTCTGCCTCCTGGGTTCAAGCAATTCTGCCGTCTCAGCCTCCCCAGTAGCTGGGACTACAGGCGTGCGCCTCCATGCCCAGCTAATTTTTATATTTTTAGTGGAGACGGGGTTTCACCATGTTGGCCAGGATGGTCTCGATCTCTTGACCTCGTGATCTGCCCACCTCGGCCTCCCAAGGCGCTGGGATTACAGGTGTGAGTGACCGCGCCCAGCCCTCTGTATGGCTTCTAGCAGCCCCTATCTACAGTGGCGTATTACCATAGAATGTGATCAGTGCTGTGCTTGAAGTACAGGAGGCACCACATCAGTCTAGGGGAGACAGGAAAGGGCCTCTTAGAAGGCATGGTTTCTAAGCTGAGATCTGAAGGTTGAGTCAGCAAAGGGAAGGAAGGAAGAGTGCTCCAGGCAGAGGGAACAGCATGTGCAAAGTCCCTGAAGTGAGGGAGTGGGAAATATAAGTATAGAATTGAAGGCAGCTAGGTTTGGCTGGACTAGGGAGGCTGGAGGGGGCTGAGGAGGAGAAATGAGCCTGGAGACAAAAGCAGGTGTGGGTCAAAGAGGGCCATCAGCCATCTGTAGGAGGGTGGGCAATAGGGAGCCATGGATGGAATTTGAGCAAGGGGAGACAGATTCAGATTGATACTACAGAAAGATCATGTTGGCTGCTGTGAGGAACTTCAGTGGGGGTACAAGAGCAGGCAACAGACCAGCTAAGAGGCATTCACCATCATCCCGGCCAGAGTTGGTGGTGGTCTAAGGCTTTCAATTAGGGCTGAGGAATTGGGGTTTAAAATGATGCCCATCTTACCTCTGAACTCCCAAACTTCACCTAGTCACCAGCGGGAGTTAGGCACATGCTAGTTCAAATCCTGTCCACAGAGGTACTTGCTATGTGACCTTGAGCAAAATTCATAAGCTCTCTGAGCCTTGGTTTTCCCAACCACAAAATAAGCACTATTTTACTACCTCACAAGAATTGTAACAGCGTATAAAGCCTTCTATTCATAAGGCCGTGTAAGAATTAAATGAGAAAATACACAAAAAGTATGGTGCCCAACAGAATAAGGGCCCCACAAAGAGCAGCTGTAAGTGTTTCATTGATCAATTGTTAATTATCCAATGACCCAGAACCTCCTTTGTGCCAAGTTCTGGGGACCTGGTGAGCAAGATGCTTTCCCTACCCTCAAGAATATCACAGGCTAGTTGGGGAGATAGACACTTACATAAAAGGAAGAGGAGAATCAGCCATGCCTGGCGTACCTCCCAGGCTGGGGCAATGGCCAAGGGAATGCTTTTGGAAAGAGGAAAAACTACGTGTGTAGACAGACAGTGGGAACAGCCCCTGGTATCCCCAGCTCTAGTTGCCAGCCCAGGAAATACAGATCAGGGTAATATGATCAGGCCTGGAATTCTCCCATTGGCATGGAGAGAACAACGGATGCAGCGTGTGTGTGTGTGTGTGTGTGTGTTTATGTGTGTATGTGTGTGTGCATGCCCACACACACACACACATGCATGCATAATTACCTAAATAGCACAGATCCCAGGGCTCATGGCATAGGGTTACTGATAGCCACATGTGAGGGTCACGGGATCTGCCGGAGGTGCCACCGGAGTTGAGAAAGGCATCCTGGGTCTGGCCTGGCCCTGGGCCATCGTGGAAAAGGACAGGGGTGAAAATAACCCCAGAGCGAGAGAAGCTGCAGGTTGGGATGGCCTTCAGGAGGGCGCCTGATGGGATCTATTAAGCTGAGAACTATGTCTGCCTCTGACCTTTCCATGTGTAGAGAAACCCTACCCCAGGGACACATTGTAACAGTGAAGAACCGGAAATAGCCTGAGTGCCCATCCAGGAGCAAATAAGTAAAATGTGGTCTCTATCATGCATATGGCAAGTTAAAAGAAAGAGCTAGATCTATAAGTATCCACATGACCCGATCTCAAACACATCCTGTGGAGTGAGAAAAGGAGGCAGTAGAATAAGGTTAAAAGGTGATAATATGTAGATATACTTGAACATTTGTCCAGCTACAAAATGAGGCTATCTATACTACCCTGGTGCATATATTCATATGTATCAGTAGAAAGCAAGCTTGGAAAGATACACAGGAAACTTACAGCGTAGATTACCTCTGGGAAACAGTGACATTGGAGGACACCTGGAGAGGATCATTTTTTAACCCTCCCCTCCTCTCTATGACAAAATTATTTTCAGTAATAATCCTCTGATAATAAGTAGTCTTTTCACAGTTTCTTGTTCTTTGGTTTTAAACCCAATTATTTAAAAATAATACATTTCTGTGTTAAAGTTATATTCAAATGCAGTAAAATAGACGGTGTGTAAACTATAAATTTGTGCCTAACAACAAACCCAAAAAATTTCTTTGGAGTTGGTTGAAAGTAAAAAAAAAAAAAAAAAAAAAAAAACAAAAAACCTCACAGCTTGTACCCCATTTCACCAATTTTAAATTTTAATCAGAAATAAATGTTAAACAGCATTCCCAGTGGTGGCAAAGAATGACAGAATTAACTCAAGCGCTACTTCCTTGTGTCTATAATCACTGTTTATGTTGAATCTATTGTTTAAACAAAGGAAGATATATTATTCCAGAGGTTGAAGACACAGACTGGGCCCTCAGTGACTTCGAACGATTCCAAACGGTTCTGAACTTTCCAACTTCTGAAATAATTGCATGTTGAGTCTGCCTGTGTATAACCAGGGGGTTCTCTGAATTCACTTCCATGTAGAATAATGTACTATGTTCATTAAAGAATAACTAGGCCGGGCGTGGTGGCTCACACCTGTAATCCCAACACTTTGGGAGGCTGAGGTGGGCGGATCACCTGAGGTCAGGAGTCTGAGACCAGCCTGGCCAACATAGTGAAAACCCGTCTCTACTAAAAATACAAAAAATTAGCCAGGCGTGGTGGCACGCACCTGTAATCCCAGCTACTTGGGAGGCTGAGGCAGGAAAATCACTTGAACTGGGGAGGCGGAGGTTGCAGTGAGCTGAGATCGCACCATTGAACTCCAGTGTGGGCAACAAGAGCGAAACTCCATCTCAAAGAAAAAAAAAAAGAATAACTAATAAAAATGTGCTAATTAAGTAATATGAATTGAACTAGAGGTCATTATGTTACGTGAAATAAGCCAGGCACAGAAAGACATATATCGCATGTTATCACTCACATGTAGGAGCTAAAAAAGTTGATCTTGTGGAGGTAGAGAGTGGAATGATGGTTATTAAAGGCTGGGAATGATGTGTGAGTCGGAGAGGTGAAGAGACGTTGGTGAGATAGTAACATACAGTCCAATAGAAGGAATAAGTTCTAATGTTCGATAGCAGAGTGGGGCGACGATAGTTAACAGCAATGTATTGTGTATTTCAAAATAGCTAGAAGAGAGGAATTGAACTGTTCTCAACACACAGAAATGATAAATACTCTAGGTGATCGGTACCCTAAATACCATGGCTTGATATTACACATTCTATGCACGTAACAAAATATCATATGTACCCCATACATATGCACAAATATTATGTATCAGTTTTTTAAGTGTACTAATTTGAAGCTTATTAGTAAAACTTAATAGTAATGCAGCAATGGTTTAGAATTTAGACAAACAGAATACTTTCTCAAGGTGAAATATTTGATCCCTGATATTGGTTAAAACAGCCAGTGCATGGTGATAAGAAAAAGCAGACTGACTTTTGTCAGTTTTGTGATTGTTGTACATTTCTCTACCAACAGCCCAGCCCCTTATTACCTGCAGCCAGGGTAGGTTACTCCCTCAGCCCCGCCCTTGGTGCCCATTGCTGGGGAGGGGATACAGAGCACCAGAGTCAGAGCTGGGAGTTAAAAGGGACTTTAGCTTTACCTATAATATCCTGATTTTTTCCAGCATAGTGGTTAAGAGCGTGGGTTCTGAAGGCAGATTGCCTGAGTTCTGATCCTGGCCCCAAGGCAAGTTACTTCATTCATCCCAACCTCAGTCTCCTCATCTGTAGAATGGAACTGATAATACCTATATCATAGAGTGGTTGTGAGGATGACAAGAGATAATTTATATAAAATGCATAAAACACCTCCTGGCATAGGGTAGGTATTCAATTAATGCTAGTCATATTTTAGAGGATAATATGTTCATACACTAATGATGTAATTTTAAAAAGCGTATGCCTAGGAAAAAAGCTGGATGCAAACATGCCCAATATTAACCCAGGTTAGTGCTGGGGTGGGACCATGCGGGAGAGTTATTTTTATTCTTTGTACATTTTTGTACTTTTAAAAAACTCCAGACCCTCCCCACCTTTCAGGCTGGAAGGCAGGGGTAGGGTTGTTCCTGGGGCCTCAGTGGCTGAAATGAGCCCTGGCCCCCAGCCACCCTTCAGCTTGGGTCTGATGTTTCCAGGCCTGCTCAGGACATCTCTGTCCTGGCCTCCAGAACTCTCTGGCATGACCTCAGGGGCAGCTTTTCTCTCTGAATAGATTTTCTTTGTCTGGAAATGGACAAGGGGAGTGGCAGGCTGCTGGGGAAGTTGGAGGGACTTGGGCCAAGTTGGCAGAGGGAGTGGAGGCAGTCTCAAGGCTCCGAGGGCCCCTCAGGGCCTCGATCCACCCATCCACCCATCCTCCCATCCATCCCTCTATCCACTCATCCATCCACCCACCCCTCCACCTCTCCATTCACCTATCCATCCCTCCATCCACCCATCCATGCCTCCATCCACTCATCCACCCATCCATCTACCCTCTATCCACCCCTCCACCCCTCCATCCACCCATCTATCCCCCTTCCACTCATTCATTCCTCTGTCCACTCATCCATCCATCCACCCATCCATCCCTCTATCCACTCACCCCTCCATACACCCATCCACCCATCCATCCACCCATCCATTCATCCCTCCCTCCATCCCTCCCTCCATCCACCTTCCACCCCTCCATTCACTCATTCATCCCTCTATCCACCTCCCTGTCTGTCCACCCTCTCACACATCCATTATTTTATTCATTCACTTATTCCACAAGTATTTATTGAACACCTATTATGTGCCAGGCACTGTACTAGTCCTGGGAGAGAACAACAAACAAGTCAGACACAGTTCCAGCCTCCCGGGGCTGACATTCTAGTAGAGGGCACAGCAATAAAGTAAACAACAAATAACTGTATAATTGCAAGTAGGTCTAAGACTCAGGGAAACCAACCAGGCTGTAGCCTGGCTGGCTGACTGTTCACTAGCTGGTCCCGACTACCCACCTCTCCTGACACTTCTCTGTCTAGCTAGCAGCCTGGGCCAGCCCACAGGGTTCAAGGGTTCCAGGCTCCTTCCCAGAATTTTCCTTCACCATTGCCCAACTTGCCAAATTGTGAGAATTGCTGGTATACCTGTTAAAAACACGGATTTCTGGAACCCTCCTGGAGACACCCATTCAGACTGGGAATCTGTGATGGGCGGACGAGCCTTGGGGTGAGTGAGCCATGTCTCAGCTCCACTTTCTCCCAAAGCCTCATGTGCAGCCCAGGAGCGTGGGGACAGCTGGGCCCAGGTGACGGGGCCCCGGGATGGGTTGCACCTGGGCTGATTCTCACAGCCCAGAGCCCTGGAAGGGGAGGGCTCGCTGAGGCCAGGGGTCAGACCTGCTCAGTGCCAGGCTGCCAGGAGCCTGAGAAGGCCAGGCCTCTGGGAGAACAGGCAGAGGTGACCTCAGGATCTGCCCGGATCCTAAGAAGAAGGAGGAGGAGGAAAAGGAGGAGCCTTGGAGGGACTCAGCGGCCTCAGCCAGGTAGGAGGCCTGGGCAGGGAAGATTCCAGTCATCCTGCCCAGTAGGAAGGGGCTTTCTGCCAAGACTCTGTGCAGTCCCGAACCCTTGGTGAGGCCTGCCCTGGCACCACCACTCTTGCGATCCTGGGCAGGGTCTGTATTTTGTTAGGCAAATGCCCATTGTGGGCACTGGAAAGATCAAGAGCAGCTCCTGGGGAAGGAGGGGGGAGGTTTGAATGGTCAGAGAGGAATTGGAAGCAGGAGCCAAGAACAGGGCCTCTCGGAGCTTGAAAGAGATCCAGGCCACTCCCACTTCCTGAAGCTCCTGGTATACGAAAAAATGAGGGAGTTTCAAAACAGCGTTTTAAAACTGGCTGCTATATTTTTAAGCCTTGAAATGCACTCATGAGGCTGTGCTGCACGCCTTTCCACAACAATGGGATAGGAGGATGCTGGTCATAAGAAAGTGACAGGATTCGCTTTAAATATTAATTCATAGTGCATTACAGCTGGCAAAGTCTGGGACAGGGCAGAAATTAAAACTTGTTTGCTAAATGTCATCTGCTTGGGACCCTACTGCTGCATTTCGGTGACTGTATGAATAACTACATTGGGAGATAATTTCAGATGCCTGGATTTGAGACCCCCATTCCCTGCAGTTGGCAAGACCTGTGGGCAGGTCACAGAAAGACATGAGGGACTCCTTCTGGTGGGGGGACCTAACAGATGTGATTGGATGAGGCAGTGCACAGCGGGAGCATGGAGGAAGCCTCTCACCTGCCTGGGAAAGTCAGGGGGACTTCTTGGAGGAGGTGGATCTAATATGGGACGTGAAGGATAAATGAGCGTGAGCCAAGTGGAGGAGGGCAGATAATGGACAGATAAGTGTGGCGCCTTGGTACGAGGAGAGAGGAGGGAGAGGCAGGTAGGCAGCCCCTCACCCACCTGGGAAAGCTGGGGGACTTCTTGGAGGAGGTGGATCTAATCTGGGACGTGAAGGATAAATGAGCGTGAGCCAAGTGGAGGAGGGCAGATAATGGACAGATAAGTGTGGCGCCTTGGTATGAGGGCAGAGGAGGGAGAGGCAGGTGGGCAGATGCAAAGAAGGAAAGACTCTTAGTTATATTTGGGGATTGGAACCTTCATTCCTGAAGTCAATTCAGCCAGACTTTCTGTGCTTACAGATCTATCAAGACTTTGTTTTTAATTGTATACATGTGTATTCTTTGTCAATGAATTAGGAAATACAGAAAAGCAGAATGATCAGGGGTGTTTGTTATCAGGAGTCTGAGATAACTTCAGGGCTCACTTGAGTTTTTAGCTACCCTGACGTAGGTTCCCAAGCATGTAAGGAAGAAATGAAACCCTCACCTTGGCCTTGTTAACAATACGATCAGCCACTGTGCCAGCCGGCCACTAGGAAGCCACCAAGAGGGGATGTGGTTCGTTCATTCACAATTTTGGTGCGCACCTTCTCTGTGGCAGGCACTATATTGTTACTGCCCTCCTACAGCGAAGGATGGGGAAAACAGAGGGACATCAATCCATTAAACAGCAGCTTATAATAACAGGAATTATGTCCTGTATTAGAGGTAATGAGGGCTGGGGCCAAGAGCTTAACACCAGATTTCCTCTTTAGAATGAACAGACACTGAGCCAGAGAAGAAGGGGGTGACAGAGGGCATTCCAGGCAGGGGGAACAGCATGTGCAAAGGTACAGAGGTGTGAAATGACTGTGGTGTATTTGAGGCAAGGTGAAGTTCATCAGTTGCAAAATTTCTGGCAAAAGGAGGTGGCAGGGGTTGGGTGGGGCCAGCTGGAGAGAGGAGAAGGGAATGGAAGAGAGAAAGAGGTACTGGTTTTCTTAAAGTTAGGGTCCTATAAAGTAAGGTTTACCATTATGGTCTCACCATTTCCACTGCCATCTAACTGTCCCCATTTCTTCAACCCAATAAGCCAGTTGTCACATGTAAGTAGCTCTCAGGTGGGCATGCTTCATGTACACTGTAATGTTTTGCCTGATTGGGTTTGCTTTTTGAGGTTAGCCATCAAGATTTATAATTTGGGATTTCACATTTTTAACAAAATAATCTAGGTGTCCAGCTTCTTGTGAAAAATCAGAGAGACTGATGACACTGAAGGCTCCATGTTCCCACCTGGGGACAAGCAGTCAAAGTGGAAGGCCAGCAATAGGTGCCCACCATAGACGAGGTCATAGGCTCTCCAGTTCAATCCAGCCCCTAACCTCACCCACTTCCTCATTTACACCTCGGTGTAAATGACCTCAGACCCCAATGCCTCCGGGGGCTACCCAGCCTGGCTCCTAGAGGCATCGGGGTCTGGGGTCCCTGCCTTGGGAGCCTCCATGACCCCACAAGTCACCCTATTTCCTGCCACCCCAAGTGCTCATCCAGCCTCCCCTAGGTCCTAATCCTGAGGACTGCGGGGTTGGGGGTCAACCATTCCTTATGGCCCCTTCACCTAAAGGAGCTGGTCTGGAGCTGCTCTGCATGGGCCAGGCTGGCTGACACTGGTTTAAGGCAGCTTTTAATTTTTCCAGAGAGAAAGAAGCAAGGGCAGGAGAATGGGGACATGGAAGGAAAGGCTGGGAACCCAGCAGCCCCAGCCTCTTTTTGCCTCATCTAAGACATATGTCTAGGTTCCACTTCTTCATCTGTATCTCTCTTTCTCTTCCCCATAGCCCGGTAGTCGGAATTTAGTGCCAGGGGCCAGGCATGGTGGCTCATGCCTGTAATCCCAGCACTTCGGGAGGCTGAGGTCAGAGGATCCCCTGAGGTCAGGAGTTCGAGACCAACCTGGCTTCTTAAAAACACAAAACAATTAGCCAGGCATGGTGGCAGACGCCTGTAATCCTAGCTACTCAGGAGGCTGAGGCAGGAGAATTGCTTGAGCCCAGAAGGCGGAGGTTGCAGTGAGCCAAGATCATGCCACTGCACTCCAGCCTGGGCAACAGAGCGAGACTCTGTCTCAACAACAACAACAAAAAGAATTTACTGCCAGGAAGAGCTGAGTTCAAATCCTACTCTGGCACTTTACAGAGGTGTGACTTGAGCAGTCATTTACCCTGAAGCTCATTTATAAACAGGAACAATGACAACCCACTCATTGGCTTATCATGGGCATGAGCTGGGGTCATACATTAAGTGACAGGCACAGTACCTGGCACTTAGTATGATAAAAGGCAGCTGCATATGTATTCTTGCTCTTCAGTCTACTTCTTTCTCTGGGTGTCTACAGCAGACACTGTCATTATCCTGTGCACAGTCACTAAGATTTCTTCACCATGTTTGCATAACATACCAGCTCTTGGTGCGTTGTTACTCCCAACAGCCGGCAGCTGCGTCTCTTTGCGGCAGACTGTCCTCAGGCTTTGCCTGGGAGAGACCCTGTGTTCCTGGGAGTGTGCATTCTTCCATGGGTGACCCGTAAAGGGTGAACTTCAGTGACTGGGGGGTGCAGCTCCCTTGCCACTAACAAGAACACCTCTAGGGTATCGCCTACGCTGTCTGCAGTACTGCCCTCCAGGACTGAGCCTCCAGGGGACTTTGCTGATATCACAGGCTTGCTTGGCTCTCTTCCCTTCGTGGTTCTACTTCCCCCTCTTCTCTGTCATTTTTCCTGAGGACATTTCACAGTAAATCACAGTGGCAGGAATCTTCATCTCAGAGTGTGCCTCTGGGGAAACCAACCCAAGACACTATCCCTTTTCATCTCAGCCTTCCAAATCCCCCTCCCTCCCACCTTGGTTCCACTTATTCCCCACTTTCCCCATCTCTTCCCCATTCTGCCTTCCCCTCCAGGCCAGCTTACCCAGGCATCTCCACCACCAACTTGGAAACAGATGGCATCATCTGGGCGAGAGCACTCCCTTCGTGGTGATTTATAATTCTTGATTGGGCAGCGTTATTTTTAGCTGCCTCTCTCCACCTTCTGCCATCCTCAGCCATGGAGGAAGTTCTGCCCTGTTTCTTGGGCATCAGAGGGTGGCTATGTCAGTGGTTTTCAACCAGAGACAATTGTATCCCCCAAGGAATATTTAGCAATGTCTGGACATATCTTTGGTTGTCACAACTTGGGTGGATGGTGCTACTGGTATCTAGCAGATAGAGTCCAGGCATGCTGCAAAACATCTGTTCATTGTGCAAGAGGCATTTGTGGTCATAACTTTGGAAGCAGATTGGGGGATCTCTAGGAAGGCTGAATACAAGACAGCATGTATTGAGGCTCTGACCTCCCAAGAGAGGAAGGTCCTATCTCTATGGATACTCCTAGTCTGACATGTTGGGTCAATGATGGTCCTTCGAAACTGTCTCTCCTTGCCATGTATCAGTCAGCGTTTGCTGTGTAACAATCCACCCCAAAATGCCAATGCTTGTTATTTGAAGTTATTTAAGTTCACAATTCTGCAAGTTGGCAGTTTGGGCTGGGTCAGATGAGTGGTACTTCTGGTCTCGGATAGGCTCACTCATGCGCTGGTGATCAACTACCAGGTCAACTGCAGCCTGGCTGATCCAAACAGTTCTTAGCTGAGATGGGTCATCTCTGCTCCACGTGGTCTCTCATCCTCCAGCCTTCTAGTCCAAGCTTGTACATGTGGTAGTGGCAGCATTTTAGGAGCATGAGAGCAGCTACACAGATTCTTGAAGCCCACACTGGGAACTGAGAAATATCATTTCTGCTGTATTCTCCTGGTCAAAGCAAGTTCTGTGACCAGCCCATATTCAAAGGATGGGGAAACATACTTCCCCCCTTAGTGGGAGGAGTCACAGACTATTGTCATCATTTTTGCAATGTACCACAGTGACATTTTCCTTCCTTTCCTGAGGTCATGCACTTATTTAGAGTCCTCACAGTTAGTGGCACCAGCATGCAATTTGGTGCTAAGAAACTGTCAATTACTTAGCTATGTGGCCTTGAGCAGCTCCTTAGCTTCTCTGGGCTTCAGTTTCCTCATTTACAATTCAGGCAAATTATGCCTAACCTGCCTGCCTCACAAGTTGTCAGAAAGCTCAGATAAATAGTAGAGGTAGAAGGGGCTATTATTTTATTATCAGTCCTTGAAACAAAACGAGGCCCGACTGCTCCTGCTGGGCACAGGTATCTCTCCCCTCCGAGCCAAGTTCTCTGTAATTTATCAGTAGCCAAGGTCTGGCAAGCCCCTGGTGGATCCTCCATCAATCCTCCTGTCTATTTTCCCAGGAAAAACCCAAGTGATTTTGCCAGAAACTCTCACGACCCTTTTCTTTTGAGCTTAAATACTAAGCGTCAGCCAAATGCCCCTCCGATAATTCTGTTAGCTGGTCTAAAAGCAAACTTTGAAATTTCTTGGCCTAAACCATTCTCAATGAACCCCTTTCCCTGGCAAAGGTTCGCTTTCATTCAATAAACACAGCCTGTGTGCTCTGAGATGTCTCATAGCCACAGGTTCTAAGATGCAGGAAAGAGACGTGTGCTCCGTGAATGCGGCCAGGTTGTCTCAGGCCATCTTGGTGCCTGGTGACTTTCCTACAAGAGTGCCAGTGATCAGCCACCAAGCATCTCACAAGCCTGGGAAAACGGAGATCAGAAGTGTTCAAAGAAGAGGATGATTAATCCAGCCCTTGGCTATTTGTGGTGTTCGGAGCAGATGCAAGAGAACAAACACCATCATTTAGTTATTATGATGATCGATGACAGTTATTGAAAGCTGACTGTGACAGTGTCCCCTGTTCAAGGCCAGGAACCATACCTGCCCTATTCACTGATGTTCCCTGGTGCCTTCCATTAGGCCTAGCCCATAGGAGGTAGAGGCAGTGTGGAATGATCTCATTTAATCCTTCACCAACCCAACCAGGCAGGCACCATTATTATCGTCCCCATTTTACACATAAGAGGAGTGAGAGCATATGTCCAAGTCACACAGCTAGGAGGCAGCAGAGTCAAGACTCAAACTGGGTCAGTCTGGCTCTGAAGTCCATGCTCTCTGTGGCTACACCATGCCCTCTTCAACTCTGCTGACTGCATAACGGTCTAGGCCTGTGGGCGGGGTGTGGGAAGGTTACAAACAGGTATGTGCAAAGCAGACAGGTCACTCCAAGGGGTTCTTTCCATAGTGGGGGGCCCAAACCACCACTATGTCCACCCTCCTCGAGGTCAAATGGACTCTGCCCTTCTTCTCCTGGTGTCAGTGTGGCATAAAACACTGGGGGGAAATTTGCCCTTTTAAAAATTTTTTTTTAATTTTTTTTTTTTTTGAGACAGAGTCTTGCTCTATCGCCCAGGCTGGAGTGCAGTGGCGTGATCTCGGCTCACTGCAACCTCCACCTCCCAGGTTCAAGCAATTCTCCTGCCTCAGTGTCCCGAGCGGCTGGGATTACAGGTGCACGCCACCACACCCAGCTAATTTTTGTGTGTTTAGTGGAAATCGGGTCTCACCGTGTTGGCCAGGCTGGTCTCGAACTCTTGATTTCAAATGATCCGCCCACCACAGCCTCCCAAAGTGTTGGGATTACAGATGTGAGCCACCGCGCCCAGCCAGACTTTTTGTACTGATTTCACACTTACTACTTTCTTACTTATATTAGGCCCTCTTCCAAATACTTCTCCTGAATTATTTCATTGACACCTCCAAGAATGAAAGGCCTTCTTTCACTGACCCTAAAGAAGAAGGTTCTATAATGCTCCAGTCACCCAAAAGTAACTGGCACCACTGGGATTCAAATTCAGGCAGATTTAGCAATAATAATAATAATAACAACAACAATGGCAGTTACCATTTTGTCTTATCATCATATGCCAGTTACAAGGCTAAGTATTTTATGTGCACAAATCTATCAGCTCTACGAGATAGGTACCACTAGGATCTCCATTTTACAGAAAAGGAAACTGAGTCACAGAGAAATAAAGTGACTTCCCCAACACTACCCAGGGAGTCAATGGCAGAGCCAAGATTCGAACCCAGGGCTGGCTGAGTCTAGAGTCCACGGTCTTCCCCATTGTGCCCCAGCACTTCCCCTGTGGGAGTTAAACCTGTTGAGGTTGCACATTAGATGGCATTGAGTAAATAAATTTATGAATGAAGGAAGGAAGGAAGAGAGTACTTCCAGGCACCCTCCTGACTCCCATCCCTAGGGACAGCAAGAGAAGAAGCAGGGGTCTCAGTTAACGAAGTCTCAGCTCTAGAGCAGCTAGGCTTCAAAGGCTGGAGAAAGGGGTTGGACCTCTGGAGAATCCCTGGGGGAACGTTTCATGACACAGCATCCTCTTCTCACCAAGCCTCTGGGGAGGGGTCCCAGCAGGCCAGTACTCCTGAGGCATAGACACCTTTCCTGGTGAGGCAGGGAAGAGCAGGCGACTTCAGGGAAGTGTTGTCACCCTCTGCCTGCAGAAAGGTCATCAGAGGCTATGTGGACAAGAACTTGGTAATGACCCTTCAGTCCATTTCTACCAATGGAGTTGCAGAGAGCTTGGCAGAAGCCACACAGAGCAAATCATTGCCATGTCCATTGGAAACAGTCTCAGCATAGGCAGAGCCCTGTCTCTGGAGCAAAACTAGAAAACAATGGACCAAATCAAGATTTTAGTTTCCTCCCTTCCCATCCCCCACAACAGAAAGAACTCTACTTTCTCCTAGGTGCAAGTGGAGTTTCAAATATATTCTTTCAGCTGGGTGTAGCAGCTCACACTTGTAATCCTAGCACTTTTGGAGGCCAAGGAGGAAAGATCATTTGAGGCCAGGAGTTTAAGGCCAGGCTGAGCGACATAGCAGGACCCTGTCTCTACAAAAAGTTTTTTAAAAAATTAGCCAGGCATAGTGGCGAACAGCTGTAGTCCCAGGTACTCAGGAGGCTGAGGTGAGAAAATCACTTGAGCTCAGGGGTTGGAGGCTACAGTGAGTTAAGATCCTGCCACTGCACTCTAGCCTGGGTGATGGAGCAAGACCCAGTCTCAAAAAACAAAAACAAAACAAAAACCCTTATTTCATGATGGTTGTGTACCATATTCTGTCAATCCCTTGACCCCGTTGTCCATGAATCCTTGAGTGACCCTACATTTATGATCCCACATAGAAGGATTCTATTAAAATAGTAGTTGGATGACATCATTCCCCTACTCAAAGCCTTCCAAGCGCTCCTCATTTTCTCATCTCTGTCAGGTCTCTGATGAAGTGATTCTTCTTCAAAGAGTTATTTGCTGACCACTCCAGCATATCCTGTCCCCCTCTGTTTCTCTACCCTGTCGTAATGTTCTCTGCAGCACCATTACCTCCTTACACACTAGAATGTGAGCTACGTGAATGCAGGACCCTGGTGTGTTCGTTCTGTGTTCTAGGGACCTTCCACAGTGCCTGGCGCTTAGTAGGTGCTCAATAAATATTTGTTGAATGAATGAATGACCCTATTTTACAAATGAGGAATCTGAGGCTCGCTTGAAGTCACCTAGCCTATAATTGAAAGAATCCAGATGAGAAAAAGGACATAATATTATGGACTGTGTAATATTCTGTCATATAGTCCTCCATTATGAAAATTTAGATCATTTCTTCTGTCTGGTCAATAACTCCATAACTCTCCGTGAACATTCATCTTTGTTTCCTATATCTGTTTATTTCCTTAAGATTTATTTCTTCTCTCTTTTCCCTAGTTTCAGAATTTCTTTCATTGTATTCTAGGAGCTTAGATTCAAATTATTAGTATTAATAAAATAGTTTTATTTAATAGATGCCACTTTAGATAATTATTTTTATATTTGCATTGTCAGTAACTATTAACAAAAATATACATAGATTTATTTTTCGTTTTTCTGGTTTTGTTGCTCAATATCAGTTCTTAAAATCCATGATCTCCCCATTCTTGGATTATTTGTTTTGATTTATTGTTGGGTCAACAAGGGCTTGCATTTGAGTTTTTCGTTTTGTTTTGTTTGAGGGCACACAAGTGGCAGACTTTCCAAGTTTTTGTCTGAGAATACATTCGTGGCACCTGAAAGGTAAATATAAGAGTGGAGAATTCTTGGACCACAATCTGAATATTCCTGATATGGTTTCACTGTGTCCCTACCCAAATCTCATCTTGAATTGTAGCTCCCATAATTCCCACGTTGTGGGAGGGACCTGGTGGGAGATAATTAAATCAGGGGGACATTTCCCCCATATTGTTCTTGTGGTAGTGAATAAATCTCATGAGATCTGATGGTTGGCTCTCATTCTCTCTCTTGCCTGCCACCATGTAAGACATGCCTTTGCTCCTCCTTTGCCTTCCGCCATGATTGTGAGGCCTCCCCAGCCATATGGAACTGTGAGTCCATTAAACCACTTATTCTTTATAAATTACCCAGTCTCAGGTATGTCATTATCAGCAGCATGAAAACAGATTAATGCAATTCCCATGACCCAGGAATGTCCCCTTATCCTCCTTTGCAGGCATTCTTCCACCCCCAGGTGCAACCACCCTTAGGATCATAGCAATTTAGTTTTATCTATTCTTGAACTTCATATAAATGGAATCACACAGTCTGGACCCTATGTCTGGCTTATTCTACTCCACATTAAGTTTTTATTAATTGATACATAATAGATGTACATATTTTCACGTGTGTGTGATCGTTTGTTACATTTCATACCATGTGTGAAGGTTAAATCAGGGTAATAGGGATATTTAGCACCTTGACTCTTTATTTTTTTTGAGACAGGGCACTCTGTCACCCAGGCCAGAGTGCAGTGGCACAGTCATAGCTCACTGCATCCTCAGTCTCTCAAGCCCCAGGGGTCCTCCTGCCTCAACCTCCCAAGTAGCTGGGACTACAGGTGCATGCCACCATCACACCTGGCTAATTTTTATTTTATTTTATTTTATTTTATTTTATTTTATTTTATTTTATTTTATTTTATTTTATTTTATTTTATTTTATTTTATTTTATTTTATTTTATTTTATTTTTTGTTGAGACAGTGTCCCACTATGTTGCCCAGGTTGTGTCTTTTCTTTATGCTAAGAACATCTGTTTTATTCCATTCTAGCCATTTTGAAATGTACAATAGTATTATTGGTAACTAAAATCACCCTACTGATCTATCAGACACTAGGTCTTATTTATTTCAGATTCACCTATATTGTGTATATCACTAATTTGTCCCTTTTAATTATTTTTTTCTGTCTGAATATTAGTCCATTGAATGACTGTACCACAGTTTGTCTATCCATTTTCCTCATGATAGATATTTGGGTGGTTTCCAGTTTGGGATTACTGTTATTATACAGGTGTTTTCCATAGACACTGAATTGATTTCCCCAGGTATGTATGTAGGTGTGAAATTACTCAATCATACAGGAGGTGAACAGTGTAAGAACCTGTCAAAGAGTTTCCCAACATGCCTGCACCATTTCCCACCATCCATGCATGAGAGTTCCTCTTGCTCCATGTCCTTGTCGACACTTGGAATTTGCCAGGGTTTAAATTCTTATTTTGTTTGGTTTGGGCCATTCCAGGTGTGTAGAGAGAGCTCACTGTGGTTTTAATTTGTATTTCTCTAATGTCTTATGACTTTGAACATCTTTTCACATGCTTACTTACCAGTCGTTTGGATATATTCTTTCATGAAGTGCCTGTTCAACTCTTTTGCCTATTTGCTTCTTTTGCTTATGGTATCAAGTTTTAGAAATCTGTGGCAAGCCTGATTCTGTTCCTTTATAAAGATCACCTGGGTAGTGGTGGTGGTCATTTGGGGTTTGGGGTTTGGTTTTGCTTCACTTTTTTTCTTAAATACTTGCAGAAATTTTTTCGTATTCTGAAATTCCTGACATTGATTTTTGTTCGATTTGGCTGAGATACTCACTCAGCTCAGCCAATTATAGACTGAAGCCTCAAGAAAGTTTTCTATTTTTTAAAATTATTTTTCTCTTTGTTCTACTCCCTCTTCCATAATATCTGAATTGATCCTCCATGTTTCTAAGGTTACATGAGCCCTATTAATCCTATCAAGGCCAACAGAAACAAGAAGGGGAAAATTGGACTTATCGCAGTTGAACATTTCTAACTGGGGATTCCAGCCCCCGAGGAAAGCAGAATGGGGGACGGTTATCGTGGGCAACCTCAGCAGAAGGCTCAGCCTTGGGCCAAATGGTGTCTTTTCTCTGGTGATTGTGGAATCAGAGAAAAAATGAAGGCAATGCCCTTACTGTCTGCCGAGCCTGGCTTCCCTCAGTGGCCACCAGCCAAGGATTAACACCCACTTGGGCTTCCCCACAACATGGTGGCCCATACTACATCCTTCCCAGAGGAACCAGCTGGATTTAAATGAACCTATTTGTTACTTCCCATTCCTGACAGTTGTATGCTCTGAGGTCTCTTCCACTAACTGGAAGGTGACTTACTCCTTCTTGACCTTCTACAAATCTGTTCAGACCTTCTTTCAGTCAAATCTCATCCACACTCTATTTTGTATAAATTATATGAATTTATATGGATGCCAATCTTCCCTAGTTTCCAGCACCAATAAAGGCTTTCCCTGATTTGTATATTCCTTTGGTAATTTCAACAGATGCCCTAGAGAGGGACATAGATAAATCTTACTGCAAAATTCATCCCCTAACCCATAAGTCGTTTTCTCATTCCCTGAAGCCACATGAAGCTAGCATCTAATTAAATAAAGATCAGGCCTCACCTGGTAACATGCTCCTTGTATTTTATTATACAATCCAGGAGCCCTCTTATTAAATCTAAATTGCACACATAACTAAGCATATCATAGATATTTAATCATGGCCTAGGGCCTGTTTTTCCTCCAGACCTCAGACATCTTCAGGTTTTGAGAAAAGAGATAGATGTCCCTGTATAGCTTTGGAAGGGCTTTTGTTTATATATGTCAGAAGGGTCTGGGGCTGACCCCTGCCTTAGAAATAGTTTCCTCCTTCCCTAAGTACCCTGCAGTTAATGCAGCCAGGGCCCACTGGCTCCTACACAGAATCCTCCACCACGTGGTCCTCCCCACCAGCCTCAAGACCTGCCCACACTCCTCATACTCTCCCAGGCTGAATATGCAAGTCCTAGAACTTGAGTTGCTCCTTCATGCCCCATGCCTTGCACACACTGTTCCCCCCACCTGGAATGCCACTGCCCTTCCTTACCCTAGTAAACACCAGGTCAGCCTTCACATTTCATCCAAGACATCAACTCCTCTGAAAAACACATCCCTTTCCCCAGACTCCCTAGCTGTAAGCACAGGGCTCCATTTCACCCCTGTAGCACTTTCCATGGTGCATCATAGAGGTGGATTTGGGTTCTGTCTCCTGAACTGAGCTGAGAGAGGGCGAGGATGGTGATTTCTTCATCGTCGCATCCTCCTAGTTGAGTTGGTTCAATGCCTGGCATATTGTAGGGGCCACTACTAGTTTCTGAAGGAGAAAAAGGATTGATGAAGGAAGAAAGGAAGGATAAATGGATGAATTGGTGAATAAATGAATGAATGATGAATAGAAGGATGGATGGATGGGTGGGTGGATGGATGGACCAAAAAACAAACTGATGGGTGGAAGGGAGGGAGGGAGGAAAGAAGGAAGAAAGGAAGGAAGGAAGGAAGGAAGGAAGGAAGGAAGGAAGGCAGGAAATATGGATGGAGGGTGAATGATTATATGATGGATAGATTGATGAGTGAATGAATGGATGGCTGGATAATGGAAAGATGGATGGATGGAAGGATGAATGGGTAGATGAATGAATGGTGAATGGAAGGATAGATGGATGAATAGATGGATAGATAGAAGAAAAATAACTGGGTAGAAGGGGCAGATAATGTGTTTGATATCAAGAGTTACAAGGAGAGTTATAGGCATAACTTATACCCAGTTAAGTGTGCTAATATTAAATGTACACCCTTGCTGGGTTTTAACAACGCTCCTGTGTATCTGCCACCTGCATCAAGATGCAGGGCACTTATAACACACCCTACAATATCCCTGTGCCCCACCCAATTAATAGCCCACCCCTTGACCAGGTGCAGTGGCTCACGCCTATCATCCCAGCACTTTGGGAGGCCAAGGTGGAAGGATTGCCTGAGCTCAGGAATTTGAGACTAGCCTAGGCAACATAGTGAGACCTCATCTCTACTAAAAAATCAAAACAACTAGCAGGGCATGGTGGCACATGCCTGTGGTCCCAGCTACTTGGGAAGCTGAGGCTGGAGGATTGCTTGAGCCCAGGAGATTGAGACTGCAGTGAGCTATGATTGTGCCACTGCACTCCAGCATGGGCAACAGAGTGAGACCCTGTCTCAGAAAAATAGTAAAAAATAACCCACCCTCATGGGTCACCACCATTCTGACATCTACCACCATCAGTAGTGTTCTTCCTCTTGAACTTCATAAGACGGAATCATACAATATGTTCTCTTTGTGCCATAGGCCCCTTCTTGAGAGTTGACCAATTTATTTTTTATTTCTCATCCCATCTGAAAACTCAGCTTGAGTGACCATGTCCATTGACACTAGCTGATGTCTATCCCTCTTCCTCTGTGTAAAGTACATTTCCCTCAAGATCTCATCACCCATGGCTAGACAATGGCTTCCATAGCATCCATTTCAATTCACAAAGCAACCCTGTAAGTAGGTTGTTTGTATTCCGCCAACTTACAGATGAGGAAACTGAACTTCAGAGTGGTTAAGTCATTTGTCCCAAATTCTACCAGCTGTAAAAAAGCAGCCTCAGGCAGTTTGGATCCAGAGCCTACCTTTAGCTCTGTCCTATCTCCCAGCAGAGGCCTTGTGACCCAGTAGACATGTTTGTTGATTGACTGAATGATAGCACCTGTCTTGCTGGTTTTTGGAGCTGCAACATTTGAAGTGCCTAGGATTACCATGCAGGGAGTGGCTCAAGGCCAGGCCAGCTTCACTTGCAAGGTGAGCAGTAGCTTCTTGTCCCCTGATGGTCTAGTCTTGATTTGACTCATGCCTGAGCAGGCCACTTGGGAGGCTGAGACCTGGAGGTTTGACTCAGTGATCAACGCCCCCAGGAGCTATCAAAGGCTGGAAGCACAAAGCTGTTCATTTGGGCTGCAGAAGAAACCCTTAAGGCAGTTGAGCAGCCAATAGCATTTGCGCTAGCAAAAGAGATTAAAAAAAGGATGTCAGAAAAGTGTAATTTTTTTAATCCCCCAGTTTTTTTGAAGAGGAAAAAAAGAGAGAGAGAAAGGGTGAAATGGGTCTAATTCTAAGTGAAGAGTGGCGTGCAGTTAATGATGACTCATTTTCTAAATGGGTGTTTGACAAGAACGAGAAAGAACTAAAATCAGGACAATTAGGAAGTAATGAAGAGCTTAAAAACACAGAAAAAAGCAGGTAAGGAAATCACCCTGGGAGCCTATGATTAGATATGACTCAGTGTGACGCGGGGCCAGGCTGGGGGGTGGGCTTCCCATAGGGTATCTATGAGAATGATTCCAAAGAGTGGGCGCACATGAGAGGGCCTCTGAAAATTCAGCTGGACCACAGTCCTCGCCTCTGCCCACTCCTTGCCTTGTCCAGCATCACCACGCTCACCCAGTCCACTGTCTTCTCTCACCTGGAGCCCTTACGTCCTCTTTCACCCTATGTCCCAGTGTGTTTGCCTTAAGCAGGCAGAGGAATCTGTCTAGACACAAGGCGATTGTCATTCCTTGTTCCAGATCCTTCTGTCACTTTCCAGGGCACATCGGAGAAAATCTAAATGCCTCACCTTGATCTCCAAGTTCTAGGCTAAGATATGTGCTAATGTCCAGCTCTGTCTCAAGCCAGGTGTTCCCTCGCTCTGTACGTGCCAGGATTCTGGCATCTTCACACATACCAAGCTTCCTCCAACCTCAGGGCCTTTGCATATGCTGTTTCTTCTGCTTGGAACACCTCCTCTTCATTGGAAGGGCAGGGGTACTTCTTCTCAATCTTCAAGTTTTTTGGGTTTTTGTTATGGGTTTTTTTTCTGAGACAAGATCTCACTCTGTCACCCAGGCTGGAGTGCAGTGGCATGATCACGGCTCACTGCAGCTTTGACCTCCTGGGCTCAAGCGATCCTCCCACCTCAGCCTCTGAGAATGTTGGTATTACAGGCCTAAGCCACTGCACCTAGCCGTCATGTGACATTTCTTTACAGCCTTTATCATGGCTAATGGTTATAGCTTTTGTTAATTTGCTTGCTTTTATGCTGCCTTTTTCCTCCTCTGGAATATGAAGGCAGGCATCATGGATGTTTATTTGCCAGAGTATTACCCAGCACCTAACAGGTGAATTACTCATAGTAGAATAAATGAGAAAGTAGCCATCTTAGCAGTGGTTCTAGTTCTGGCTTCAGATACAGTTGGATCCAGATGACCAGAGTTATCAGGAATCTTTCTCTGTTCACCTCTCAGGTCTGCTTTCTTCTGAGCAGTCTTCACTCTCAGGCAAGCTCTTCTCAGGGCAGATTTTTGTTCTATCCCTTTAACAACGCCAGTGAAAAGAAAGGCTCTCCTTTAGACTCTCTTTTGCCAAAGTCAAGTCACTGTTTATTCATTTGACAAGCCTTTATTGAGCACTTACTATGTTCTAGGCACCATTGTAAGAATTGAGGCATCATGAGTAATCAAAATGGACTGAGTCCTTGCCATCTTAAAGCTCACATTCTAGTGGGCAGACAAGAGTCAGACCCTAATAAGCGCTCTGAAACAATTATGATTGAGGTGGAATTGGAGAGTATTGGAAGAGGTGGGGTAGAACTCAATTAGTGTGTGTTGCCTCCGATTGCCCTGCTTGGAGGCACTTGTTTCTCCTCAACCAATCCCATGGCCATGAGAATAACAGCCAAATTGTTCTGCCAAGGAAAATGGAGTGCTGTTATCAGAAAGAGGGGGGATAGAGCTGATCAGGAAAACCCAGGAACTGTCTTAAGCAGACTGTGGAGGCAACAGGCTCAAGGAGTCAAGATTGCACTTCTAGAGCAAGTATTCACGGTGTGTAGGAGTCAGTACCAGGCATCATGGAAGAGGCTCTGGGCACTAGAGAGGGGAGTGGTCATTTCTGGCCTCCTGGCTTAGGGCAATGGTTCTCACTGCTGGGGTGGGACACTGATGTGTCAGGACCAATCAAGAGGTGCCAGAGCACACAAGTCTTGATATTTGCTTGATACACAAATACTTGATTCTAGAGAAATCAGAGCAGATTCTAGGAGGTCCTTGAAAGAAATGTCACTTTCAGTCACTGACAAACTTTTCTGAGCAGGAAGAAAGGACGTGGACTCACCATGGGTAGATACACGGGGGTCTGCGCCTACCTTCTGTCCTATTTCAGCCACAACATGCCTGATACCATGAAGCTATCACTGGTGGGAGTTGGCAGCCCTGGTGGCTACAGGCTACTAAACTGCTTTACTTCTTTGCAAAATGTTTTTCCAACCTTGAAATCTAGGGACGCCCATGAGAATGCTTAGCCTCGTCTGTCTTTGCAGGTCTCTGAAGAATAAAAGTTGAGAGTTGCAATTTAATAGCATTGAGGTAATATTTAATCCAGAAAGGGCAACTTCCAAAACTGGTTGTGTTTGGGGAGGAGGCTAAACTTTGGGTTGGGTTTTTTTTTTCAGCAAGATTGAGGGGTTTCTTGATTCCCCCTTGTTACTGGTAGGCCATTTGAGGTTGAGATTGGAGACCAAGGAATCAGAAGTTGTTGCCTTTTCCTCAAGATGACCATCACAAGAGTGGCATCTGTTTTTTTTGTTTGTTTGTTTGTTTGTTTTGGTTGTTGTTTTTGTTGTTGTTGTTTGGAGTTTTTTTTAGAGACAGGGTCTCTCTGTGTCACCTAGTCTGGAGTGCAATGGCACGATCATAGCTCACTGCAGCCTTGAACTCCTGGGCTAAAGCAACCCTTCCACCTCAGCCTCCTAAGTAGCAGGGATTATAGCCATGCACGACCATGCCTGGCTAATTTTTATTTTTATTTTACTTATTTATTTATTTATTTTTGAGATGGAGTCTCGCTCTGTCACCCAGGCTGGAGAGCAGTGGCACGATCTTGGCTCACTGCAAGCTCTGCCTCCTGGGTTCATGCCATTCTCCTGCCTTAGCCTCCCGAGTAGCTGGGACTACAGGGAGCCCGCCACCATGCCTGGCTAATTTTTTGTATTTTTTAGTAGAGATGGGGTTTCACCATGTTAGCAAGGATGGTCTTGATATCCTGATCTCGTGATCCACTCGCCTCAGCCTCCCAAATTGCTGGGATTACAGGCGTGAGCCACCACGCCCGGCCTAATGCTTATTTTTTAATGTTGTAGAGATGGGGCCTTGCTTTGTTGCCCAGGCTTGTCTCCAACTCCCGGACTCAAAAGATCCTCCTGCCCTGGCTTCCCAAAGCACTAGGATTACAGGTGTGAGCCACTGCACCCAGCCTGGTTTTTACGTCAAATGTCATCTCAAAGGGTTTGGTAATGATGGCCTAGACCACAGTGTTGAGAGCAGATCCAGGCTCAGCAGGAGAGTGTACTGTGATCCACTAGTAATGTCTGCCAGGGACATGAGAAGGGCAGGTTGTGCACATATGACAGATACTTGCCACACCTGACCAAATGGTTAACACTGTGAAAAATGCCCAGCTAGAAATAGATGCAAAGCAATAACAGACTGATCGTCCTGAGGCGACATGTCACTATGAAAACAGACCAAGGTTGGCCAGGCGTGGTGGCTCACACCTGTAATCCCAACACTTTGGGAGTCCGAGGCAGTGGATCATGAGGTCAGGAGATCGAGATCATCCTGGCTAACATGGTGAAACCCCGTCTCTACTAAAAACAAAAACAAAAACAAAAAAAATTAGCTGGATATGGTGGTGGGTGCCTGTAGTCCCAGCTGCTTGGGAGGCTGAGGCAGGAGAATGGTGTGAACCCAGAAGGTGGAGCTTGCAGTGAGCCAAGATCGCGCCAGTGCACTCCAGCCTGGGGGACAGAGCGAGACTCCGTCTCAAAAAAAAAAAAAAGGAAACAGACCGAGGTCAGACCATTCCTGGCTCTACCACTTGTATAACCGGGTAATCTTGGGCAAGTCAAGTACCTTTCAGCCTCAGTTTTCTCATTATCTCATTATAAAAATAAAAATAAAAAATAACCACATAGGTTTTAAGGATTAAATGAGATCATATTTGCAAAATTATTCATAGGTAGTAGGAACTCAGTAAGACTTACTTCCCTTCTTCCCACTCTGTCCCAAATCCACCCAAACTGAGGAGGTGAGAAGCCAGGAAGGAAAGGGAGAAGGCCCTGGAGTAACTGGGATAAGGGAAGTGCAGACGGGCTGACCTGGAAATGAATGGAAATTGGAACAATTAGAAAGCAATGGGAACCAGGCACGGTGGCTCATACCTGTAATCCCAGCACTTTGGGTGGCCAAGGCAAGCAGATCACCTGAGGTCAAGAGTTTGAGACCAGCCTGGCCAACATGGCGAAACCCCGTCTCTACTAAAAATACAAAAATTAGCCAGAAGTGGTAGGGGATGCCTGTAGTCCCAGCTACTCAGAAGGCTAAGGCAGGAGAATCGCTTGAACCTGGGAGGCATAGGTTGCAGTGAGCCGAGATTGCACCATTGCACTCTAGCCTGGGCATAGAGCTAAAAGAAAACAATGGGGAGTTTAAAAAGCCAACCCCGAAGCTTCCAGAACTGGAGATGCAAGCTCGTCTGGCTGGCACAGAGCCCCCTGGAGAGACTCTTGGTGTGATGGTTAAAAGTGTGTGTATCAGAGTCAGACTACACAGGGTTAAAGACCAGCTCCACCACCTACTGGCTGTGTGATGTCACCTTTTTGTGCCTCAGTTTCCTCATTGTAAAATGGCAGTGGAAAGAGTACCTTCCCCATAGCGATGATGCATTAAATAAATGAGCTCTACCGAGAGGTCTGGCATAGCTCCTAGCACGTAGTAGGTGCTATTATAAGGTAATGATGATGATGTTGATGATCTAGCAAGTATCTCCTTCCTCTGTGGCCTGGAAATGCATCACTAGGCCCCTGTCTGTCCCATTATCTCCATGGGATAATGGGGGATATTGAAGACATCGCCACAGAGAAGAACTCCCCCAGATCCTTCCAGGAAATGTGCCCCTCTCATGGCCAGGGGTTGGAGGTGTCCCAGCCTGCTGGGTGACTGTGCCATGTGGAGGTCTCTCAGTCTCATCCGGGCAGATGGCATCCCCGGGGCCCATCATTCATTATCACAACAGCAGAACCTTGCCACTTTCCACTCTAATGCCCCTGTAATCAGCCAAGAAACCCTGCAATTTGATATTTGGAAACAATTAGCCCAGTTCACGGCCTCTGCAGCATCAATTAATGCGGACGTGGCCATAAATTACAGGGAAGCAGGAACTGGCGCAAGAGGATGAGGTCACAGCAGCCACAAACCTTTGGCTCAGAGGAGGTTCCCTGGGAAGGGGAATGACCACGGGGGGTCCTTGTCTTCTTCAGTCACACAGGTGGGGCCCCTCTCCCCCAGGAGTCGCCAAAGACCCATAGCCAGAAGCCTGTGGCCAGGGCCTCTGAGCTCAGGAACAAAAGTGCGTGGCCAAGAAACCTGGAGTGTCCAAAGCTCAGGCAGGCCAACTCAGCCATCCTGCTGCCCCCACGCAGGCCTGCCCCCATGCTCTCCTCCAGCTAAGAGGAAGATGCTGCAAACCCCCAATCTCTGAGTCTCTCCAGAACAGTCTCAGCTCTGCATGACCCTCGGTGCAAAATAACACTGGCACCCCCAACAACCCTGCCGCAGTCAGAGGGTGCTCCCTGGAGTGCATAAAAGGCTTCTTAGGGCTCCTTTCTCAGAAGTCTCAGCCTACACTTGTCCAGAAGCAGATGCCAAAAAGTCAGGCTGACTTTGCTTTGGGCCCCCTGCTCAGCCACATGCTGGCTATGTGACCATATGCAAGACTCATCCCTTTCAAGCTTCAGTGTCACCTCTGTAAAATGGGATTTAAAAAAAAAAAAAAAAAGGTAGACAAATGGGCCGGGCTTGGTGGCTCATGCCTGTAATCCCAGCACTTTAGGAGGCTGAGGCAGGAGGATCACCTGAGGTCAGGAGTTCAAGACCAGCCTGGCCAACATGACAAAACCCCATCTCTACTAAAAATACAAAAATTAGCTGGGCGTGGTGGTGGGTGCCTGCAATCCCAACTACTCAGGAGGCTGAGGCAGGAGAATTGCTTGAGCCCAGGAGGTGGAGGTTGCAGTGAGCCAAGATCACGCCACTGCACTCCAGCCTGGGTGACACAGCGAGACTCTGTCTCAAAAAGAAGGCAGACAAATGGGTTTAACACAGTGCCTAGCACATAGAAAGCATGTGGTTAGTGGGGCTTGCTGCTGGCAGTTGCTAGAGCAATAGTTAACAGAAAAATAGCAAAAATCACAGAGGGCTTCAGAGCTTACAGAATACCATCTATTCTCCCAAAGGTGGGGAAAAGGAAGCAGATAGCTCACTTCATTTCCAAGCTCGCCCACGTGGTTCTTGGCAAGCCTCAGGTTTGTGCTCTCTGGCTGCAGGCTGGAGGCATCAGCTCCGTGCCACGTGGGCCTCTCCCTAGGACAGCTCACAACCTGGCCTCTTGCTTTTCCAGGGCTCTTAGGAGAGCAATGGCAAGAGCAAAGGACAGAAACCACTGCCTTTTTGTCACCCGATCTCAGAAGTGCCAGCCCGTCGCTTTTGCTGTATCAATTCATTAGAAGCAAGTCACAACGTCCCACCCACACTTGAAGGGAAAGGAGTCACAAGGGGTCTGGCTGTGAATACCTGGCTGTGTGACCATATGCAAGACTGAGCTGGGGCATCTTGAAGGCTGCCTACCCCTGAGGGACAGTTAATGTCCATACCAAGTGCTAGGCCCTGAGTAAATGCTTTTCAAAATCGCTGGAAGGGCCAGGCACAGTGGTTCACACCTGTAATCCCAGCACTTTGGGAGGTCAAGGCAGGCAGATCACCTGAGGTCTGGAGTTTTGAGACCAGCCTGGCCAATGTGGTGCAACCCCGTCTCTACCCAAGATACAAAAACTAGCTGGGCACAGTACCAGGAACCTGCAGTCCCAGCTACTCAGCAGGCTGAGGCAGGAGGATCACTTGAACCCAGCAGGTAAATGTTGCAGTGAGCTGAGATCACACCACTGCGCTCCAGCCTAGGTGAGGGCGAGAGCGCAACATTCGTCTCAAAAAAAAAAGAAAGAAAGAAAGAAAGAAAGAAAGAAAGAAAGAAAGAAAGAAAGAAAGAAAGAAAGAAAGAAAGAAAGGAAAAAGAAGTTGGAAGAAAGGTTTTCAAATATTCCCATTGCAGGCATCACCCTGTTTAATCCTCTCTATGACCCCATGGGGTGAATAGTACCTGCCTCTGGATTGGGAAGAGCAGAACCTGTGATCATCCAACAGAGAAAAAGGTGAATTCTCTCCTTAAAAATATGGGGAGAGGGAATGCTGGCCAAAAAGCAAAATGGATTCTAAGAGACAAAAAGAAAAGGAAAAGAAAAGTCTGCCAAACACCATGACTATCCCTATTTTGTAGGTGAGAAAGTTGAGGCTCACAGAAGTTAGATAATTGCCTAGAAATTGGGAGGAGCTGCTGGAATTCAAACCTGATTTCAGCATTAGCATCTCAGTCCACAAAGGTCAGGCCATGGTCCTTGGGACAACTACCATGGACTGTGTAGGCCGCCCTGCACTTGGAAAGTTGAATCTCTGATTAATGGGGTCAGGAAGCCAGCATCCTGGCTGGACAGGGGAACCTTGCAAATGAACCATAATTCAGTAATGTGATTTCCTCGCCTGGGGCACACTGGGTGTTCTGGGCTAGGAGAGCAAACTCCTTGGCCGGTCTGGCTTGGTCTCATTGGGGACTTGAAGGGCCCTTAATGATTGTAGCCCAAATTTCCATTTGGGTTAAAATCAGAACAGAGCTAATCCCACTGGGAGGAAAACAGCCTTGAACCCCCGAAGGTAGCAAAGCTAAGTAGCAAATGAAGGAGGCAAATGAAGAGGCCCTCCCCATCCTGACCCCAGCTCAGACCAGGGCAGTCTTCCACATGTGGGTAGCGATCATACCCAGAAGGGATAAGGACTTATGCCCCAGCCAGGCCTGGGTCCCCATCCCACCCCTGCCACTATCTGATTGCAGGACCCTGATCAAGCCACAAAACCCTTCCAAGCCCCAGTCTCCTGACTTGTAAAATAAAAGTGACGATTATCTAAACTCACAGGACCGTCATGAGGATAAGGAAGTGGTGAGTTTGCAAAGCCACTCAACACATAGTAGGTGCTTTGTAAATAGTCACCCTTCTTGGTGAATGGACACACCAGGCAGAGACCTCCACCACCCCCATGCCTTCATGTTTGTGTTCCTCATGCCGGGCTCAGACTTGGTCCACAGTCACGTTTAGTTAATCAGGGAGATAATCAAGGAAGAATGCAACTTCTGAACCGGGTGAAGGCTTGGGGGATGCAAATTCAAGAATTTGAGCCATTCTCAGATGTTGAGTCCATATGAAGTGGGTCACGCTCCTATTTTTAAAGAAAGCTTTGACCAAATAAGTCAACAATGTTTATTTCCTCTTTACCTGACAATAAGAGTGTATTTTAACCACTGCAAAAAGCCACGTGCCCCCCCAACACCTGAGAGGTAGCCCTGTGTGAGACTGGTTATGAGCAGCTCTTGTCTGTCACTGAAGAGGGTTCCCTAATCCCCTACAAGGACATAGATGAATCTGGGGTGCCCTAATCCCCTACAAGGACATAGATGAATCTGGGGTGCCTGCCATATGCCCTGCTCTGCACTTTTCTGCCTGAACTACGGCAAGTCTCAACTTCCTAGAAAACCCTGAAATAATAATGTACTTTGCTCTGTGACCTTGGGAGAAAGACTTCACCTCTCTGAGCTTCAGAAAACAGGGTTTATGTCAACATCTCTCAGAGCTATCACAGGACTTGGAGGAGACATGTGCATCACAGCCCCGGGTGCCTGATTTAAATCCTCAGTGAATGGTAGTTCTCATTGTTCTAGGATGATTCAGTAACTCATAAAGACTCTCTCGGGTCCCAAAAAGTGAAGCTGGTTGTATTTCCTTGGAAGCAGATCAGAGAGGAGAGGAGCACTTGCTGAAGACTCACAGGACTGAGAGGAGAACAGGTATTCTGAAGGCACAGGGTAGACTGAGGACAGGTGAGGGTGAGCTGCCCCCTTGCCACCCCACATGCCCTCTTGAATGCATCGTGCCTCCAGTCATAGCAATCTTGATGTTTTCCCTTCTGCTTGGCACAGGGGGCAAAGAAATCCTCCATTGTAGGTAAATCCTGACCAGTTTCCTAAGGAGAGGTGGATGGTCCAATAGTTGTGGTCACCAATGGTCTCAGTGCCCGTCAGAGCCCCTGGCACCTGAGAGGTGGAGGCTGTGTGCAGGCATGTGTCTTGTGTGCACATGAGCACATGCATGTTTCAATCACATGTGAGACGCTCTATTCCCCAAAGTCCAGTCTTCCTAGACCAGCAGCAAATCCAGCACACAGGGTTGCAGGAAGAATCTTCTCATCCGCCGGGAGGGGCTGCCTGCTGCATTTGGGGGCTGCTGACTGCAGATGGCCAGATATTACATTCTGCTCGGTCCCCCATCTGGTGGCTGCTCTGGCCAGCCAGGAAAATTCCCCACAGGCTGTCTCTGGGCTCTGGACAAGCCACTCTGCCACGCCCCGACCCTCCAGTGACCCTCAGACAGGACTGTGTTCAGCAATCCGGAGGATCCAGGCCCTCCAACAGAGCAGCCCCCCTGTCCCTGCCCAAGGCAGCCCCTCTGCCCTCATCTCCCAGTTGGCTTCCGCAGAGCAGGGGTCAAGAGTACGGGATTTGACACCCGATCATCCAGCGATCACGTCCTGGCTCCATTGGGCATTTGCCTAACTTGTCTGACCCTCAGTTTCCTCTTCTGTGATCCTACATCACGGGGCCACTGAGAGGGTAAAATAGGAGATAATGCATGTCATGTAGGGTCTCCCCACCTCTGCACTGCTGACATAATGGTCCAGATAATTCTTTGTGGTGGGGGCAGCCATGCGCACTGTAGGGTATTGAGTAGCATCCCTGGTCTCCACTTCTCCCTCAGTTGTGACAACCAAAAATGTCTCCAGGCATTGCCAAGAGTCTCCCGGGGCACAAAGTTATCCTGTTGAGAATTACTGGGGTAGACTGTTTCCTGTTGCGTAGTGCCATGTCAGCACTGATGGATGGAGGCTACCTGGGGCCAGCAACGATTTTCTGAGTTAAAAGAAACCGCACTGCTGTAGGGTGCTTAGAACATTCACGGGCACACAGAAATACTCAACAAACATTAGTTATTATTGTTGCTGTCTTGCCAAAAGACCTTTCTAGTCCCCCCTAGACTAGAGAGTCAAATGAGGCTTTGAAACCTGTAGTGTGGTTCAGTGTTCATTCATCAAACATGTATGGAGAGCTACAAGGCAGCCTGGGAAGGATATAGATACAGGCCCAGTTCCTAATTAGGTAACAGGAAGGGGTACAGGAAGAGCAAACACCAGAGGCTGGAAAAGTCCCCGCTTTCATCCCACAGGGCAGCTGATACTTTGGAGGAGATATGCAGAAATAGAAACAGCTCCAGCACGGTGGCTCACACCTGTAATCCCAGCACTATGGGAGGTCGAGGAGGAAGGATCACTTGCTTGGGAGTTCGGGACCAGCCTGGGAAACATAGGGAGACCCAATCTCTACTAAAATTCAAATAAAATTAGCTGGGCATGATGGTGTATGCCTGTGGTCCCAGTTATTCAGCAGACTGAGTTGGAAGGATCGCCTGAGCCTGAGGTCCAGGCTGCAAGGAGCCCTGTTTGTGACACGGCACTCCAGCCTGGGAAACAGAGCAAAACCCTATCCAAAAAAAAAAAAAGAAAAAAGAAAAAAAATATATATATATATAGAGAGAGAAAGGGTAGCAGCAGCCCTTCCCCCTCCCCCTCGACTTTCTCCTTCGCTTTGCTGAGACCATATCCCGCCTCCAGGTACCCCCAACCAGCAGTGCCCGGTGCATTGGACAGCCCCTCCCCAGCCTCCAGTTCCCATCCCAACCTCATTATCCCAAGATCAATTTCCCAGAAACATGATGATCCTGCTCAGTGGACATCTACTGATCCCAGAACAGAGAGGGTACCTGGAACATGGAAGTTTCAATGCTAAAGCCAGGAAAGTCCTGGGCACATCAGCAAGGTTGGTCACTCCGCCTATGACCTCTCAGCTTGCAGGCCCTTTACCCATGCCTTCCTGTGCTTCTGAAGGCAAATCATCCTGGGATGATTCAGGCCCACTGCCCACTTTCTCATCCCCCACAAAAGGGCAGGCTCAGGGCCAGGCAGTCCAACTGCCACTTCACAGCTGCTCAGTAAAGCCCACTCATCTGAAGCTCTGAGGCAGGAGAATTCAAGAACAGAGGGGGAAGTGCAGAGAGGGACAAGGACTTATCCAGGGCCATCCATAGGGTTAACAGCAGAGCTGGGACCAGATGCCAGGACTTCTGGATAAGCAGAATAATTTAAATTTAAAGGAGAACAATGATAATAACTGAGTTCTACTAAATTCTTACTCTGCCCCAGCTCTGTACTGAACACTTTACCGGCATCGTGTTGCTGAATACCCTCATCCTGACCCCAAAAGTTCATATTGTTATTATCAAGACCATTTTACAGAGGGGAAAACTGAGGCACTGATGCATTCAATGACTTACCCTAGCGTACCCAGCTGGGAAGTTGTAGAGTCAGGATTCAAACCCAGGAAGTCAACACCAGTTACAGGAGACAACCACTGTGCCACACAGCCTCCTATGAGCAGCCCCTCACCCTGGCCCCTGGCAGTATTGATGTTGGAAAGTAGGAGTTTGGGACCCTTGCAAAGTGCTGCAGTGAGGAGCATGCACACGCACACATACACTCACACACCTTTCACTTATTATGGGTCTCTGTCTGAGGATCCCTCAGAAGAGGGCAATTCTTACCTTAATGATTTGCTAATGGTAGTGGTTCAGCTACTGTGGTAAGCTAGAGCTATTGCAGACAGGGGCCCTTCCCAGAGCCTTTCATCCCTACTGTAGTGGAGTCATTAGTGCTCTTTATAATTCACAGGGTTCTGAGGGACGGAGGCAAGTGACAAGAGACAGAAATAAAAGGAGAGATGGTATCCATTTAAAACTCTTTATTGAGACTCTGTTAGGTGTTGGAGAACCAGACATCAATATAACACAGAGACAGAAAACAGACAGGCAACCAGGGAGCCAACTGTAGTGTGATCTATGCGGGGCTGGAGGTGAGCCCAGGGGACTCTGGAAATACCAGAGGGGCCATTTCACCCAGTCTTTGGAGGTAGGAGAGGCTTCCTGGAGGAAGTGATATCTCAACTGAAATCTGAAGGATAAGTAGGATTGAGCTAGGTAAAGAGCAGGGGTGGTGGGGGGCGTATTCCAGGCATAGAGAAGAGCTTGTGCAGAGGCCCAATGGGGGAAGACAGTGGCCCATTCCAATAACTGTCAGTCACTCTGTTCAGCTGGGTCACTCTATTCGGTTTGAGGATGGTCATGAGATGGGAGAGGGGAGAGGCAAGGCTGGAGAGGTGGGCAGGGGCCATGTCAGACAGCGGTCTGCAGCTCATTCTATCATGAGGGCCATGGATGACCACTGGTGGGCTTGAAGTAAGGAGGTGACAGGATTATATTTGTGTTAGAAAATTATTCCAGCTGTTGGATGGAGAATTGGACAGGTGGGGTGAAGCTAGTGTGGACATGCACTGTATTCTTGATTCTCCGATTTCCTTCAGTATTTACCTCAGTGGATTGATGGGTGCAAAAAAGGAATGAAGAAAGAAAAACAGGGAGGGAGGGAGGGAGGAAAATGGATGGATGGGATAGATTGATGGATGGATGAAACCCAAGGGAGGCCAGGTACACTGGTTCACGCCTGTAATGCCAACACTTTGGGAGGCCAAGGCAGGCAGATTACTTGAAGTCAGGACTTCGAGACCAGCCTGGCCAACATAGTGAAACCTCATCTCTACTAAAAATACAAAAAAATTAGCCAGGTGTGGTGGCATGTGCCTGTAGTCCCAGCTACTCGGGAGGCTGAGGCAGGAGAATCACTTGAACCCAGGAGATGGAGGCTGCAGTGAGCCGAGATTGCACCACTGCACTCCAGCCTGGGTGACAGAGGGAGACTCCATCTCAATTTAAAAAAAAAAAAAAAAGAAGTAGAAACCCATGGAGATAAAATAGAATCAATGAACACAAGTCCAAGGAGAAAATATCTCAACTTGGAATATGAAAAACTTTCATAATAATCTAAATAGTCCAAAGGTGGCAAGAACTGCCTTGAGAGACAGTGAGTTCCCTATATGTGGGAGTATGGAGGCACAGACTGAGATGAGGCATAAGCATCATAGGGGTAAATAATAGTACTAGTACCTTACTTTTATACAGGGCTTTACATGTCTAAGACAGTTTCGTGTACTTTATCTCCTTTAATTGTCATAACAATCTTGTATCTTGAGTATTATCCTCTTTTCGCAGATGAGGACATTCAAATAGACATTGAGTGACTGACTTTCCCAGCTAGTAACAACCAGAACTTCCCCTAGAAGCCTCCTGATTCCAAGTTCCCTGCTCTTTCCAAAGAACCTCAGCTGAATTCAAGTTCCTTCTAACCCTGAAACAGTAGATTTCTTAGTTGGGGAGACATTCCTGCCCTACAGTAATAATAATGATATTTTGTGTTGTTAGCTTGCTCTAACCCGGACAACTGGTTTATCAAGACAGGCAGAGCAACACAATGGAAATAGAGCATCCAGAGTCATCAAACCATCCTCTTAGTGGCTGTGTGGCCTTGGGCTAGTCACTTCACCTCTCTGAGCCTTAATTTCCTAATCTATAAAATGAGGGTTATTGATATCAGTGTCACAGGGTTCTTAAGACAGTTCAGTATGACAACGTATATAATGGGCTGTATCTGTCAGGATTCTTTTGGTTGTAAATGACAAAAACCCCACTCCAAGGAGACACATAAAGGAATGCATTACATCCACAGTTTCCTCTGTTCTCTGCTTGTCTCTTCTCTTGATTTGTATAAACCTCAGTCTCTTCTCCTGCAGATGAGCCTTTCCCAAGCGGCAGTAACTATACCACTAATAGCTTCAGCTTAGCAGCCTCAGCAGGAAGACAGCTTCCTTCACCCAGCAACAGTATATTAGTTCCAGGGAAGAGGCCTGATTGGCCCTGCTTGAGTCACTTGCTTACCTTTCAGACCAATCACTTTAGGGGAAGGGTATGAGGTGCTATGATTGGCCAGGCCTTAGTCATGTGTACTCACCACTATGGCCAGGTGTCTAAAATGTTATCATTACAGACATCCAGGACAATGTTACCAGGTAGTAGTTGTTCATTAAATGGGACTGTTATTGCTGCTATTATTGTCTGGGGGAGTCAATAAAAGCTTCATATGTGGTACAGTCTGGAGCTACAATTTAAAGGCTGGAGGGGAATTCTAGCGGGGAGAGAAGGGAAAAGAGAATGCCAGGTCAGCCACACACAGAGCTTGGTAACACTAAGTTCATGTTCCTCAATGGGAACCATCGTACATTCATACATTGCACCAGCATCCTATAGATGTCCTCTTCAGCGAATAATTTAGATGTAATAGAACTAAAATGTGGGGCTTGGGAAACCACTGGGCCACCCTTCCACACCCTGAAACATGCAAACTTGGCTCTGTGACTTTTCTACTTTCATTCAGTACTTTATTCAGCAACATTTTTTGTGCACCCAGCCCTGGCTTACAGCAGTGGATAAGACACACATAGCCCCCAGGTTCAAATTCTAGCTCTTTCTTGAATTCTAGTTCTTTCTCAGTCTTTATCTTTTCTTTTTCTCACTTGTTGAAAAACTTTAAATGTTACCTAATTAAAGGAGGAATTAAAAGAACCATAATTATAGCTCGCAATTTCTGTGGCTGAGTCAAAGAGCGTGTGTTGGTTCAATCACAATTCCCAAATGGTATGTCCCCTTGGACAACTGATTGAGAAGGAGGCACGCGTCTGCTCCACAGCTCCCCAAGGGTTTCAAGCTGATTGCAAGCCCAGGCATCACTGGCACCATGTACAAATTCTTTGTTTGGCCCCCCAGTGCCCTTTTTAAAATGGAACCCTTTGCCAGCATTTAAAACTCAGAAAATTTCATATCAAATCTGAATTTGGGGCTTCTTTTGAAAATTCAGAAGACCCACCAATACTGGACTTGTGTTCCACGTGGTAACAAATGGGCTGGAGCCAAATTGTACCAATTACCCATGACCTGAGTTCTCTGGTTCTTAAGGTCCCCATGTGACCCATTTCTCTGACTCATTGACTGGTTGACTCCTGCAAGCGTCTGAGTTTACTACCCTGGATTATAGGCCATCTGGGTGACAGCGTCAACTTTGCCTGGAGGTCTCTTCCTAGCCACACTGCTTCCTGGCCTACCCAGAATCCCACCAAAACCCCCATGGAGTAAAATACCTGTAGCCTGGGAAGGGCACAAGAGGCCTCGCCAGAGGCAGGTGAAGTCCAGCCTTGCCTTTTTTACACTGTTTCAAATCCTGGCCTATGAGGTGAAGCTGTTTGAAGGAATAAAAGGCAGACATTCAAGTGGTTTTCATTGCATCAAAGATGAGTGTTTTACCCAATGCAGCGGGAAGGCGGTTTTAAGCATCATCAGCATTACCTTCATTCAGCCTTTGAATAGCTTGATTCTCAGGCTCCTCTGAGCTCAGAGAGGCTCTTCAATGGGCATACAAGAGCAAAGCAAGGAATTGATAGTTCTTCAGCTTGCTGCAGGGTTTTTGGGGGGCGTTTAAATCACTTTTGGATGATTCTTGCCCACCTACTTCCAAAGGCTCGGTAGAAGTGAGGAAAAGATGATTTACATCATCTGATTCAAAGAATGTTTATTGAGTACCTACTAAGTACTTTAAATACTACCTACAAGACAACAAATCCCTAAACTACGTCACCAGCCCAGACCTCTTTTGAATCCTTATATCTAACTTTCTACTTGATATATCCACTCAGATGTCTCCCAGACATTGCAAACATCCATGTTCTAAACTTGACTCTTGATTCCCATAAAGAAAGAAAAAACGAATTCTCTGATATCATCTTCAGCTCAGAAAACATCAACTCCATCTCCATAGTTGTTCAAGCTAAAACTGAGAAGTTATTCTTCACCTCCTTGCTAATTCACAATAACCAAGTCCTGCTGGTTCCATCTGTTCAACTAATCTGTCCATAGGTTGGTTACAGTAGGGCTAGCTGCTGTAACAAAGAGACCCTGTAATCTCAGTAACTCAATATGATAGGAGTTTATTCTGCAACCAAGTGAAATCTAATGAAGGGTTCAGATGGTGATTCACGGATGTAGGGAACTCTCATCTACGGCTCTGCCATCCCCTATGGCCTTTGCCTCCAGCTAACAGACAGGAAAAGAGAAGGCAGGGAAGACACACCTGCTCCTAACCACTTCAGCCCAGAGGTGATGCCATCACTTCTGCCCTCATTTCATTGGTGACAACCAGTCACATGACCTCATCCAGATGCAAAGGACTCTGGGAAATGTAGTCTCTGGCTGCTTCCCAGCCACAACTATAAACTAGGGAAATAGAGTATGAACCCTTGGGGGACTGACAACCATCTCTGCTTCAGTTTATTTCCTCCACCTACACAGCCAATACTCAGGTCTAAGCCACCATCAAGCCTCACTTGGGCAACTGTGGCAGTCCCTGCTGGTCTCCCAGACTCTGTTCCTGTCCCTTCCCTAGTCTGTCCTTTACATACCCGCCAGAGTGGTCCTTCAAGCCACAAATCAGACCTTGCACTCAGAATAAAATACAGATCCCTCACTGAGGTGTACAAGGCCCCGATTGGCCTGGTTCCTGCCACCTGCCACCATCTTCTACTTCCCCATCACTCATGGTTCCTCCTACAATCACCTCCACCTTGGGATGTTCTGTTGTCTATACGTGGGTCACCTTTCCTACCTGGCTAACCTTCCTTCTCCTCCAAGACTCAGCTCAAACATCTGTCACTTCCTCAGAGAGGATTTTTCCATCCAAATGGAGCCCCTCGCAAGAGGGCTTTTCACAGTGAATAATTGGATATTTATTTGTGCGGCTCTTTGCTTACTTATATCTCTTTCCCTGAGGGTAAGAGCAGTACCTCTTCTTTTCCCTACTGTGTGCCCAGCACTCAGCACATTCCCAGACACATAGGAGGACACAATACATATTTGTTGAATGAAGGAATAATTGAGTGAATGAATGACAGGATGTCATAAACTCCCCAGTACAACTCGATACTGTAGGCTCTATTATCATTTCCATTTTACAGATGACAAGATAAGACTCAGAGACAGGAGGTGATTTTCTCCAGGGCCTCACAGCAAGGAAGTGTTGGGCCTCTGTCCTCTGACCTACAGCTCCAAGCTCTTTCTAGTGGAGCTCTACTTAGAGCTTCCCATTGCGTGTACTTTCAGAGACTTTTTGTCTGAAGCTGGTGCTTATTCTATTGCTTCTATTCTATTGCTACATCCAGACCTTCTATTCTATTGCTACCTCCAGAACTTCTATCCTATTGCTACCTCCCAGGAGCGTGGAAGACTCACCACAGCTTCCCATCTCCTCTAGATCCTAAGTAGGCATGGATCATGGCAGAGACCTCCCCCGTATCAGTCAGGACCCTGGCAGGAAAGGGCTATGCACTCAAACCATGTAATTGAGGACAGATGAATGAAGGGCTAGTTTACAAAGGTGTGGTCAGGGGCAAGGGAAACCAACAAGGAATATTCAAGACCCAGGACCATGGGGCACCTCAAAGAATGAGAGGGAGAGAGCAGCTGGCAGAACTTGGTAATGAGCTATGTGGCAAAGACAGCCTTTAACAGAGGGACAGAGCCACTGCTCTTTCTAGCCCACAGCAGAAACCCAAGAGGGAATAAACCCAACCTCACTCTCCTCCCACCCCCCATTATCCTACCAATGTTTTCTATTGACTGAATCCAACTGGAAGAGAGGTCTGTTGATTGGGTCAGCCTCCAAGGGCACCTAGCATAGTGCAGAAGTGTAGCGAATTGACCTGGAGGGGCAAACCAACAATTGCCCGTGCCCCTTCCAGGCTGAAAGATGAGAGGTGGCCCCATTCATTAGGATTTATTTGGTTTCAAGCACCATAAACTGACCTGGCAAAATTCCAGCAAAGGAGGAAAGAGTGTATTGGAGGGATTTGAGGTAGCACCAAGATGTTGAGGAAAAGCTGAAAAATTGAGCCTCAGGGACAGGAACCAGAGTCCCACAACTGTGAGTGAAGGAGGGTGGAGGCATCCCAAAGAAAATTAGGGTGCCACTGCAGAAGGGATGCAAATGCTGAGCCTACGAAAATAAGAAATGTTCTCACTAGGCTCCTTCCTACCAAAAAGAACATGAAACGATGTCAGTTGAGAAGCAAATGCCTCATCAAACCTAATAAGGATCATATATTGGCGCTCAATCAGCATTTGTGGGTTGGAAGAATAAATGAACCAAGGGATGTTACAGAATCTGGGCTTTATCCACAGGTCACTGGGGACACTGAAGTACTTCCAGATCTGGAGATGGCATGGTCAGATGCATCTGGAGATGCACCTTGGAAAGATCTTGCTGACTTGGGCTGGGAGATTGGATTGCATGTATCAGGGAAGCCTGTTGGGGCTGGTGGCATGGCTCAGGCGAGGAAGATGGTGGCTCACACTGCAGAGTGTTTATAGAGAAGGAAAGATGGGGTCAGGGCCTTTGGGACTTTATATGTGTGATAGTTAATTAAGCTGATAACCACAGCTCAGAGCCCTGTTGGTGAGCTTGGGTAGGAGGCTGCAGCCCTGGGTGGAAGTTGAGGTGCTCTAGATGCCAGCATCAGCATCAGCATGTGCTAACAAATTTGTCAGACCCTGCAGCCACCCTTAACCCACCGCAGCTGTTGACTCCAACGCCCCCGATAACCCAGGGATGCAAGCCAATCCCATAAGCTGATATAAAGTCCCCTCTAGCTGCCAGGATGATGGTAGCCCAGTCACTGACCCCAGAGATCTTCCACTCTGTTGGCGCAGGGAGATGGGCACAAGGCTAACCTTGCCCAAAGAAGGAACAGAGAATCACCTGGGAGGTGCCCACACCCTCCACACAGCATTTCCCTGGGGTATGGGGAAGCCTAGGATTACACCATGGCTCCAGAAACGTGACTTTCATCCAGCCAAGCCCTGAGCTGTACAAACTCTTGGACAAGGGGTTAATTTCACCTTCAGCAAAATATAAGCTCCTGGGGGTTTCTAAAAGTGCCAACACTTCCAGATCTTTGCATATCTCTAGAATGAGTTCCTCTCCCTCCTCCCTGCTCACCTTCCCTGAGCCAACCCCAATCCTTCTCCAGCCTTCAGCTCAGAAGTTATGTCCAGGAGGTAGGCATTGATTTGCCCCAGGCTGGGTAGGCATGCCTCCTCTGTGCCTCCTTCGCCACCATTCCCCATCATGGCCCTGAACACGCTGCATGGTCACTGTGCAATGCTGAGCGAGTTACTAATCTCCTCATCCCCTGGAAAATGGGGTTATAATAGTAGCTGCCTAACAGGGTTATCAGAGCCTTAATGGTGCGGCCCTCATAAGGTACTTAGCATGAAGCCTACAGCAGAGGACGCAGACATGAAGTATCAGCTGTTGCTGGCCTTAGCCACTTCTCAGTCATAAGACTTACTGCAGAATCTGTTGCAGACTCTGTTTGTACCAGCGCCTGTGGTTTCCTGAGACCTCAGATGGCCCCTTCATTGATTCTGGCAGCTCTCCTACTAGTATCGATCAATTATCAGTGCCGCCTTCCTCTGGTGGTGGTGATGGGGGGTGTTAGTTGGCACAAAAACTGTGTGCACTAGGGACCCAACAGATTTCTGAATGACTAGAAAATTCTACATGGTCTTTTCCCATTTATTTATTTATTTACAGATAAATTTATTAATTTACAGATAAATGTCACCCAGGCTGGAGTGTAGTGGCACCATCTCAACTCACTGTAACCTCCACCTCCTGGGTTCGAGTGATTCTTGTGCCTCAGCCTCCCAAGTAGCTGGGACTACAGGCGTGCTCCACCATGCCTGGCTAATTTTTTTGTATTTTTAGTAGAGATGGTGTTTCGCCACATTGGCCAGGCTGGTCTTGAACTCCTGGCCTCAAATGACCCACCCACCTCAGCCTCCCAAAGTGCTGGGATTATAGGCATGAGCCACTGCATCCAGCCCCTTTTCCCTTTTACATCGAGGGTGTTATCCTCCTCGTCTGTAGTATTATTCACTAGCTGGATAGTTAAAGATGATACTTCCTGTATTTAACAACACTTTATGGAGCACCAACTGTATGCACATCCTCCAAGGGGCCTGCCACATTATCTAAAATTGGCTCCAGCCCAGTCCCTTCTCAGCCCCCTTGTCCTGGTGTTTTTGCCAGAGTCCTCATCATCACTTGACATTATATTATCTGTTTACTGGTGGACTTTTATATTATTGATGTCTTTGCTTGTGTATGGTCTGCTTCCCTAGCTAGAATATCAGCTTCATGAAGGCTGGGTCCGTTTCTGTTAGCTCAGTGTGGTCTCCCCAGGGCCTACGACATACAGTCATGCTCAATAAATATTTATCATATGAATGAACACAAAGCGATGGGCCAGGCATTTTGAGTGGGGAAAACAAATTATGAACAATGAGACATGATTCTGGCTTCAAAATGCTTATTCATTGAGTGGTCAAGAAAAGGCATGAAAAGTTATTACAATTCTGGAAAGAATCAGATGCATCCTAAGACAGGAGCCTTAACATTCTCTGAAAGACAGAGAAAGGGAAGAAAACGGGCCTCATATCCTGCAGTTAATTCTTTTTTTTTTTTTTTTCCTTGTTTGAGATGGAGTCTTGCTCTGTTGCCAAGGCTGGAGTGCAGTGGTGTGATCTCAGCTCACTGCAACTTCCACCTCCCAGATTCAAGCGATCCTCTTGCCTCAGCCTCCTGAGTAACTGGGATTACAGGTGCGTGCCACCACGCCCTGCTAATTTTTTTGTATTTTTAGTAGAGATGGGGTTTTGCCATGTTGGCCAGACTGGTCTTGAACTCCTGACCCCAAGTGATCCTCTCACCTCGGCCTCCCAAAGTGCTGGGATTACAGACGTGAGTCACTGTGCCCAGCCTCCAGTTAATCCTTTATGAGTTTCTTCATTTAGTGATTGATTCTTCTGATGGCCTGAGTCTTTGCACCCTGACAGCAGGGACTGTATATGTCTGGTTAATCCAGGCATGAGATGGAGTTCAGTGGGTGGCATATGATAGGAGTTTAGTACATGTCTTAGCTTCACTTTTATTTGAGTCCTCCAGAAGCCAATTCCAAGATGAGGGTTGGGATGCAAGGAATTTCTCTGGGAGGTGATCTCGGGAAACACAGATAGGAGAATGGAGAAGCGAGACAGAGAAGGCAAGGAGCCAGTGAAGGATGTATTACCAGTCATGGGAACCAATGGAGAAAACACATCTCAGAGTTAGTCCACTCAAGGGGTGTATTAGTCTGCTCTCATGCTGCTAATAAAGACATACCCAAGACTGGGTAATCTATAAAGAAAAGAGGTTTAATTGACTCACAGTTCCAGATGGCTAGAGAAGCCTGAAATCACAGAAGAATGTGAATGAGAAGCAAAGTCATGTCTTACATGGCAACATGCAAGAGAGAGCTTGTGCAGGGGAACTCCCCTTTATAAAACCATCAGATCTCATGAGACTTATTTATTGTCATGAAAACAGCACGGAAAAGACCCACCCCCATGATTCAATTACCTCCCACTAGGTCCCTGCCATGACAGGTGGGGATTATTAAAATTCAAGGTGAGATTTGGGCGGGGACACAGAGCCAAACCATATCAAGGGGCAAGGAAGTATTCGGGTATTTATACCCCCAATCTTGTCAATCTCTGGTTAAGTGTTCTTGGGTGAGGAGGGGGGTGGGGGAGTATGAATTCCCTGACATTTTTTTAGCAAAAGAGTTGCAGATGCTGATAGCTGGCAGCTAGATCAGCATGCATGGGAATGGTAGGTGTCAAGGTGATATGGGTGGGGCACCACCAGAAGGTGCTTCAGTAAATATTTATTGAATAAATAAAGAAATGGACATTGGTTGGGTACCTAGTACATACTAGGTATCTTGGAGTTGTTAGTTCATGTGATTTTCAAGGCTTTTGACAGGCAGGTAGATTCTGGGGCTCGGAGACGTTAGGTAACTTGCCCAAAGTCACACAGCTAGCAGGAGGCAGAGGCTGGATTTGGGCTGAGTCTTGCCTGGCTTCAGTGCCCACCCTCTCTCTCTTTTCATAACATTGATCAGTTGGATACAACAGTGATGTGGATACCCTGGCTGGAAAGCTTAGGAAGGGCACCCATTTTTCTCATTTTCTTCTCTTTGGCTCCAGACCTAGGTCAGCTTAACCTTGCCTCAAAGTCCAGTCAATGAAACCCCTTGCCTTGAGGTCACCCCAACCCTCTAGGGCTTCACCTCAACCAGACTTTCCCCTTTAAGAATACTGGGCTCTGGAGTCCAACCAACCTGAGCTCCAATTCTGCAGCTGCCACTGCTTAGCCAGGTATCCTTGAGCAAGTAATTCTACCTCTCTATGCCTTAGTTTCCCCCAAAACAGGCCAATAATACCCAACTAATAGGGTGGCTATGAAGAATAAGGAGGATTAGCGTGGCCCATAGTAAGTGCTCAAGAAATGGTCACCATGGTGATCTTGATGAAGTGATGCTTAGCTTATTTTTTAGTTGCTACCCCATCTTCCTGTGTCCCAAGCTGCCCCCTCTTATCATTCCCTCTTCAACTTTAGCAATCATTGTGTAGCATTTAAGTGCACAGACCCTGCAGCCAGTCTTCCTGGGTTCAAATCCCGGCTCTGCCATTCATTAAGTGGGTGACAGCTAATACACTAATATATCATTCACCAAGTATGTGACAGCGAATATACCAATATATGAATATAACACTTCCCATTTGGGTGAGAGCTTAGGACCGTGCCTGGCATATAGTGAGTGCTAAAGTGCTCCTAAGTATTTATGATCATCATATTTCTTTTATCATCATCATTAATATTACCTGAAATTCTTCCTGTGAGTCAGCAAACCTTTTCTAAACACCTACTGTGTGCCAAACACTGGGTGGAGTGCTGGGGCCCAAGAGATGAAGAAAATGTGGTCTCTGCTCCAAAGAGTGCTCAGCCAGGTAGAGAAGCAGAGACAGATGAGAGTGAACACAGAGCAGTGCAGGGACAGAGGGAGGGGCAGAAGAATGCTGTTGTCCTGTCCGGAGACCTTCCCTGTGGACTCCTCACAGATGTGCCCTCCTCTGGACATTCTGCTGTCTCCCAAGTCCAGACTTCTCATTCTTCCAAAAAGCTCCCACTTTCTGCCTGACAGCATGGCTAGAGTGTTCAGTGGGTCTCTATCTTTCACCTTGACAAGCCAACTGCAAGCCCTCTGAGGCTAGGACACGATTTTCTTTTCCATGCCTGGAGTAGCCAACACACTGTGCTGAAGGAATGAAAGAGTGATGGGGAGGGAGGCTGACTAGTGTCAAGAAGTGTGAAGGATTGGAGGCTTTACCCTACATGCAAGCCAACAATTTAGCTGCCGAGTTTTATGGATGTTGGCAGAAGACATGAGATTCCTGGGTCAGAGACATAGGATTTTATTACTCACAGCAACAGTAATAACCAGGGTATCAGCATTTGTGCCAGTTCCTCAATCCCCAACACAAAGAGGATCAGGTGACATGGATTGGATTACAAGAGAGGAAACCCCATCCTGTATACTGGACAAACCTGCCCTTTTTTCCCGAGATAGTATATTTATCATCCTGGAGAGTACACATGCCTGCCCTTTGCTCTGAATTGAAACATTATTTCTGTCTTCCAAAGCTGTTCTCTATATAAGCATCTTAAAAGGATAGTCTGATAAAAAGGCAATCAGTGCCTCTGCTGGCAAGACATAGAGAAATGCAAGAGATACATAATCTCCCAACAGATATGGATGGATGGAGGGATGGATGGATGGATGGATGGATGGACGGACGGACGGACGGACGGACGGACGGACGGACGGACGGACGGACGGACGGATGGACGGACGGATGGACAGATGGATGGATGGAGGGATGGAGGGATGGATGGATAGATGGATGTATGGATGGATGGATTGGTGGATGAACTTCTGGGTTGGTGGATGGATAGACGGATGGATTGTTGGACAGACAGATGGGTTGGTGGCTCGTTGTCTGGCTGGATAAATGGATGGATGGGTGGGTGGATGGATGGATGGATGGATGGATGGATGGATGGATGGAAGAATGGATGGATGGATGGATGGATGGATGGATGGATGGATGGATGGGTCAGTGGGTGGCTGAATGGATAAGTGGGTAGATGAGTAGGAGGATGAAAAATTGTGAGGAAGTCCTTTTTAAGCTGTGTTCCTGGAAGTCCTAAGTGCTCCAGGGGCTCCCCGAAGGAGGACAGGGCAGTCAAGAATCTTGCCCCCTGCTTCATGATTCCTCAATAGCTCCCCTTTCACCTATTTTATATACTGGCTTCTGCATACAATCCCATTAGAATTTTTTTAATGCCCCAGCTAAAACAAGTTTGAAAATTATTGATATAGATAACTGATTCCCAAATTTGAAAATGCACCAGAATCACTGGAGTCTTCTCGAAATGCAGATTGCCAGGCCCCATGCCCAGGGCTGCTGATTCACTAGGTCTAGAGTGGGTTCATAAAATTTGCATTTCTAGCAAGTTCCCAGGTGATGCTGGTCTGGGGAAAACACTTTGAGAGCCACTGGTCTAGAGAAATTGTCCAATTCCTCCATGCAATTGAATTCAGTAACTGAATGCCTGGGATGTACTGGCAAACTGCTAGGCATACTAGAGAACGTCAGAATAGATTCGGACATGGCTCCTACCCCTCAAAAGGCTCCTAATCTCAAAACAGAGGCCGGACCCTCACACTAGTAATAACAGGAGGAGAAGGAGCTACCATTTGTTGTGCAGGTACTACGTGCCAAATACTGTGCTAAGGGCTTCAAATCCACTATCTCATTTAATCAGCACAATCCTATGAAGTAGGGATTATCATTTTCCCCAGTTTTGCCAGATGAGAAAGCTGAGGCTCAGAAAGGGTAATTAACTTGCCTAAGATTGCACAGCTAGGAAGTAGCAAAGCCCAGGACTGACTCCAAAGCTTTCATATCACGCCCGATCATTGCACCCTCCCCTCTTCCACACAATTAGAGAAGAGTCTAAGACAGTTTGCTCGCATGTCTGTTTGAATAAATCAAATGTCAAAGCATATGAAGCTAACAGAGCTCTAGGCTGTCAGGCTGTGGAGAAGAAAATGGGTTCTCTCATTAAGGCTTTAAAACTCAGGGTGAGGCCAGCAGGATCCCTTTCCATGGTTCTGGGCAGTGTAGGCTGCAAAGCGTCAGCACACTAGCAGGCTTGGTTGTTACGGCCTATGGACTGTGAGCTCATCTGACTTCCCCATTGGCACTGAGTGCTTCATGAGCCAGAAGCCTGCCTGGGGGTCTTGGTTGCCCCAGCCCCCTGGCATAGTGCCAGGCATGTGGACCACCAGAAAGAGGGGAAAGAGAATGATTATATGTATGCTAGAAGATGCCAGGCCAATAGCTCTCAATGAAAGCTGAATGAAGAAGCCAGATACACAGACAGATTAAAAACAGAACAGCTCTGAGTGAGCTCAGAGCTCAGCTCCCCAACCTTCCCCCTTGACCTGCATGACAGGCAGACCCCAAGACACTGCTGGAGAGCCCAAGGTGGTCCTAGAACAGAGGAAGAAGCTATGCTCCAGTCTACCACTTCTTAATTTTATACATGGTGAAGTTAAGGCCCAGAGGGAGGAGGGGACTTGCCCAAGGTCACACAGCAGATGGAGGCTAGAGTCAAATAAAGAAGTCAGATACCCTGGCCCTGGTTTGGGAGCTTTCCAGAACACTTACCTCTTCCTCTTTCAACCACCTCCCCATTATCCTCCCCTAGGGACTGGTCTCAGAATTTGCCTAATTCTTAGAAATAAGTCAACCCATGTCATCTTTTTTGCACATGTCTGTGATATGGTGGGGAGGGCAGAATTGTAAGAGATCTCTGCTTTCATCTTGAGGGGATGTCACTGGTGCTGAGAAGCTCTGTCATTGAACTCCAGTTATCTGCTGAGCAAGGGTAAGGACCCAGTCCAGCACACTGGGGTGGCCTTACCAGCTCAGGGTAGCCAACTTAGAACCAGAAGACAACCTGCCTCAGTTTCCCCTGGAGAGCTTATTAAAAATACAGCCTCTTGGGTACCACCCAAGAGCTATAGACTCCCAGTCTTTGAGGGCAGGGTCAAGGAGCTGGTGTTCCCCTTCTCAGGGAATTCTTATACATCTGAGAGTTTGGGAGTCACTATTTTACATTCTGATTAAGACCTTCTTTGCCACTCAGACAGCTCCACTAACCAGGCTGAAACCCATTTCCTTGGTCAGAGCTCCTATACTAGTGGCCCAAGTGATTTAGTTGGATGGAACGCTATTTTGGAAACATCTGAATGTGAATGTCTTTAGGAGGGGCATGTGCTCCAGTTAGCCACAGGCTCCACTACTCCCTGATGTCTCCCACCCAGCCCACTTCATGTTCCCTGGAAGTATGTACATTTGCAACACCGGTTAGCACTGGCTTCTCTCTAACAGTGCCTTCAAAATGCAAATACTTTGACCAGCCCTTCATACCCCAGTGCAATTTAGACCATCAGAACTCCAGGCTTAGAGAATTTTTGCAATGTGTTGCCTTTAATTGGGGCGAGATGACCAGGGAATTCTGTAATGAGGGTGAAGGGAATAACCGAAGGACTCAATTGAGGGTATGAAGAACAAACTTAGGACTCCTCTCAATGTTTTACTTGGTCCTCTGGTGTGCTTGCAACCCCCACCCCGTTTCCTGCCTATGCCCTCACATTCTTTTTAATGCCTTCTCTATGTGGACAGATGCTGGGAACTAGGAGATGCAGACAGTTTCTGGGGTGATCCAGCATTCTCAACCCACCCAGGTCAGCCCAGCTTAGCGGGGACCTAGGTTCTGGTCCTGAAAGCTGAATATAGGAAGCCATGGACCTACCTGGCTGGTCTCCGGGAAAACAGGAAGGCTACAGCGAAGGTTTAGCGCGCCATCTGTTGGTCATTTAGGAAACTGCATCTCTGACAAACGGTCTGCATAGAGCTTCAGGCATCTGCAAATTTGCCAGCCGGCTCTCAGGCAAGAAATTGTTTTTAACCTTTCCAAGGTCTCACACCCTTTAAAAAGCCGCTGCACACTTATGAACCTTCTACCCCAGCAAAACGCACTTGCAATTGATTTTGCATATAATTCCAGGGACTTGGCCATCTTCAGGTTAAGATCTTCTGAGACCCAGAGATGCCAAGGAGTTTCCTTGAGCTCACATTGCACATTAGTGGAAGTGCCAGGTCTGGAAAGCAGGTGTTCCAGCCACAAATCTAGTGTTTTTAATGCTCAGGCTGCCTCTTTAAGCCTTAAAGTGTTCTTCCCTCTTTATTCTCTGCCAGAGTCCTGTAAATATCTGGAGGAGTCTTTGACATGCCCAGAAACTATAATGCTCCTACCTCTCCTGGGGGTTCTGGGCTCTCAGACAACCCTGTTCGCTGTTCATTTTTCCTGGGTCCTACAGAAGCATGCCCCCGGCCACTTTAGTGACACCCACTTTGCTCTTAGGAGGCTCAGACCCTGCATCCTGAACTGGGAGTTAGGACAGGAAACTGATCTGTCACTGATAGGCTGCTGCCCCTGGATGAATTGTCAAACCTTCCTGGATCTTGGCCTCCCCAGTGTAAAACGCTAGGTTGGAGGCAGCCATCTCCAAGGGCCCTTCCTTACTCTAACTGCAGAACTGACCAATGGGTGCCATCCTTCACAACAAGCAGGTCCAAATCACTTTCCCAGCCAAATACCCAGAGACAGGGTCAAAAGCATAATTCCTTTCCAGAATCAGAAGCCCTGGGTGGACGGGGCTGCTTAAGGGAGAGAGGGGACCTACGCACCATGGGAACAGGAAGGACACAGAGGAGGCACCCCATGGGTCTTCCAACACCTCCAACGGGCCAGCAAGGCAGGACAATGAGGCAGACCAAGGGGCATTTCTTGGGGATGAAGTAGTGTGGGAAATGGTAAGTGATGGATAAAGGGATGGCTTGGTAGGTTCAAGGGCATAATGCAGAGGACTAGGTATATAGTTGGTGTCTAATAAGGGAGACATTGTCATCACATAGCTGAACCCCAGCTTAATAGTAAACTCTTCTTCTACTTATTTAAACAAACATTTGTTCGGTTTTTGGTGGGAACAGAGGTTCTCAAACTTGAGCATGCATCAGAATTACCTGGCTGGCTTGTTTAAAATGCAGATTGCAGGGCCCCACCCTGAGGGTCTAATTCAGGTGGTCTGAGGTGGGGACTTGGAATCAGCATCACTAGCAAGTTCTCAGGTGATGCTGACCTCATCATTCAGGGAACACGCTTTGAGAACCACTGCCTTGGAGTGACGGATGAGACAGACCACCCTGCCCTCATGAGGGCATTGAACAAGTAAATATCACAGAACTTGTATGTTCTGAAGAGGGACATGCAGAGTGCTTGGGGCTGCTCCCAAGTGGGGGAGTTCGCGCTAAGACTTGAAGGCCGAGTAGAGCCAGCCCAGGAAGAGGGATGAAAATTTTGTGAAACACTTACTTAGAATGTGCCAGGCTCTCTCTCATATCGTTCATCTGCTCCTCCCAGTCAATGTCAGGAAGGTAGGATTAACGCCCATTTTACAGATGAGGAAGGTGAGGCTGAGAGAGAGAAATAACTGGCCCCAGAACTCATGGCAAGAAAGAAGCCCAGGTCTGTTTGTGCACAGGACACCTACCAGCAGCCACATCCCCTCTGCTGCACCCCCAGGAACCCCCTTCTTCCCAGGGGAGCTGCCACCTGGACACAGCTGCCGGACCCGGCCAGCCACACTCTGTCCATTTCCGCCCCCTGAAGCGCTTCAAGTGTTTTCACTGCTGGGTGAATTCAGCAGATGCCTTTCGATCACAGCCTATTAAATTAGCCCCTCTCTGCAGCCAAAAGAAGATAATTATGTTTTCATTAGCCCTGGATAATGTATTACCCCCTCAGTGACAGCCACGTCAGTGAGGCCAGCCTCCTCCCTTCCTCCTCCTGCCCAGGGCTCCGCCAGAGCACTCCACTCCCCTGGGGTCCACCTCTGCACTGAGGGGTGGGCACCAGTGAGGGTCCAGAGTGGCTGGGAGGCTGGGGGGGAAGGGACACCCTTTACACCCATCCACCATCCATGCAGGGGTTGAGGGGTGTGGTCCTGAGAGAAGGACCAAGAATAATTGTTATCACGGTGACCATTTATGAAGTGCCTGCCCTACGCTGATGCCTGGATGGGTCTCAGCTGGTTTGATCTTCCAATAGCTCGAGAGAAGGGTGGCACAACCCTCATCTCCCCCTGAACCCCAGAGAGGTCCTGGTGGAATCAGGTTATTGTGACAGCCCAGAGCAGCTTCCAAGGCACTACACCCAAGGGGCATTTTGGGGACTGTCCCAAGGCCACCTGGTTGATGGTAAAAGTCTCTTCCCTCCACTTGCTGGGGATCTCTGGAGACACTGTCCGTACTCATGTGGTAGGGGTCCCCAAACACCAGGAGCCACTCTCCCCAAACCCTAGACACTCCCCAGATGGCTCTGACATCCTCCCTCTCCCTCTTTCTCCACAAGACAGCGGCGAGGAGGCAGGAAAAGCTCCACTTTGGGGTCCCGAGTTCTAATATCTGCTTTACCACAGATTACCTGGGTGACCTGGAGCAAGTCACTTTGCCTCCAGAGCCTCTATTTTCTCCCTCTGTAAAATGGGAATAAGAAAGGGAGTCATTTCTTACCATTTTTATGATGGTTCAGTGAGTTATACCTATTAAATGCGTGGCTCAAAACCAGCAAAATGGGAAGTGCTCAACAGAAGATGGCCATTGTTCTCTTTACTACCGCAACTAGTGTTGTCCATAGTTCCCGTTAATCCTGGGGAAACCACCAGAGGGAGGGAAGGGAAGTATCTGGCTCTGTCTGTCACTGTCCGTCTTTCTCTGTATCTCTGTCTCTCTTTCCTGTCTCTGCCATTCTCTCTCTGCCAATCTCTCTCTCTCTCTGCCAATCTCTCTGCCAATCTACCAATCTCTCTCTGCCTCTCTCTCTTCTCTTACTCTGTCTCTCTTTTTCTCTCTGCCAATATGTCTCTCTGTGTATTTTTTCTTTCTGTCTCTGCCAATCTGTCTCTCTCTCTCTGCAAATCCCTCTGCCTCTCTCTTCTCTTACTCTCTTTCTGCCAATCTGTCTCCCTCTGTTTTCTCTGTCTTTCTCTCTGTCTCTGCCAATAAGTCTCTGTCTTCCTGTCAATCTCTCCGTCTCTCTCTTTTTCTGTGTGTTTTTTCTATCTCCGTCTCTGCCAATCTCTCTCTCTCTGCCAGTCTTTCTGTGTGTTTTTCTATCTCTGTCTCTCACTGTCTCTGCCAGTCTCTGCTGTCTCTGTCTCTCTCTTTGTCTATAAATCTCTCTGCCTCTCTCTCTTCTCTGACTCTCTCTGTTTGTGTGTGTGTGTGTGTGTCTGTCTGTCTGTCTTCGTCTCTCATCTACACACACACACAGAGGGCACCTCATGGTCCCTGGCTCCACCCGTGGGCTCTGAGGCTCTGTCTTCCCAGATCTCTGTCTCAAGAGCTACATTCTAAGGCTTTGCTTTTAATCGCACCAGGGCACCTGGAAGTGAGGAGAGAACTGAGGGGAGTGGGGTTTCTGTCCCCCTCTCCCCAAACCCAAGCCAACTCTGCCTTCTGCAGGCACAGCCAGCCTTGGCCCGACCCCACTATCTCCACCATCTCGTGGCCGTGCATCCCCTCCCAACCACCCTTCTCCCCAATTTCAAAAAAGCTTGTGCTCCCAGAGAGGAAGTGCCCCTACTCTGAGCTTCTTTTGGCCTTGACCCACACATAGGCAGACGTGGACTCTGTTTTGAGCAGGTGAACCGCCAGCCCAGTGGAAGAGCAGCTTCCCTTCCCCTAGCTTCCTGATTTTCCCCAGTTGCCATGGTAATTGAGGGAGCAGTGTTCTGAGAATGACACCACTGAAACCCAGCGCTCAACTTTGAAATGGTTCGGGCAAGGGACGCTGGACCCAAAACAGGAGGGGACCAGACTGCAAGGACTCAGCTCCAGCCTCAATTTTCTGGGACCCACCCCCCATCCAGCCTGTATGCTGGATTATTCTCATCATCATCAAAATCACCATTATTGTTGGCAACTGTTTCCTGAGCATTTACTATATGTCTAGCACCATGTCAAGGGCTTCACCAGCATCATCTCATTGTGTATATCCTCACGACATCCCCAGGCCCATCCATGGCTCAGGAAACAGGCTCTGAAACTTGCCCTTGTGGCAGCCAGGAAGTGGCAGAGCCCTGGGGCTGGTGGCATTTCTCCAGGCCTCCTTCCAGCATGTGGAAGACAGCATAGACCTCCAGGCACCCTCGTCAGCTTATTCTTTATTCCTTCCTCCCCTCCTCATCCCCCACACCCTTCTTCCTGCCCCCAAAGTCACACACCCCCTCCCCTGCTGGATGTGCAAGACGATCTGAAAAGCATTTATTAGTGACAAAGGGGGTGGTGGTTTTCCTCTTTGCCTCTTCTCTGCGCAACTCGAAGCCTGAGTGGGTTTGCTCCGCTTGGCAAGGCTGGGGAGGAGGAAAAGATCAAATCACCCAGAGCCAGGTGCCAAGTGTGTGTGTGTGTGTGTTTGTGTGTGTGTATGTGCGCGTGTGCGCGTGCGCGTGTGTGTGTCCTCTCTTTCCTTGATTTTCCCCCGTTTTCCCAAGACTGTGTGAGCAGCAGCAACAGCAACGGGGAGATGCAAAATCCTTTGCAATCTGCCCAGGAAAAGACAGATTTTGAGTCGGGTTTATATGGTTACCCATATGTTAGGGCCCCTAAGAAAGGAAGGGAAGCTGCGTTCTCTGTGTCTTCCCTCCTCCAGCCCAGACCTTGGCCTCTCCACACCTGTGGGGCTCCCAGGCCACAGATGAACATGTGCCCTCCATCCTTCACTCTCCCCAGATGCCAGGCCTGAGTGTGGCTCCAGAAAAGACCAGAACCAGGCAACATTTCCTGAACAGGCTGCTTTTCTCCGTCTGTCCACCCGAGAGCCAAGGCCAGAACCCAGGCTGCAACCTCTGCGGGCTCCTGGGAGGGGCTCCCAGCACTGCCCAGCCTGGGAGGCTGTGTGTTCCACTGTCCCATTAAGGAATGCTATCCCAACACTGATGTAGAGGCAGAAATAACCATCCCTGCCTCCCATGGGGCCTTCTCTGCCCAAATAGACCTGCCCTGCCCTGCGTGGCTACTACATTCAGCCCTATCCAGGCTCCCAGAAATTGTCATTGTGTGTGTGTGTGTGTGTGTGTGTGTGTGTGTATGTGTGTGTGTGTGTGTGTGTGTGTGTTTCCTGATAGAAAAAAAAAAATGGAAATTAGGTTATATAAAAGATGTATGCTTTGGAGCCCAGAGCGGCTCTTTTAATGAGGGTTGCGACGTCTCCCTCCCCACACCCATAAACCAGTCGGGTTGGACGTCACTGCTAATTCGTTTCAGTGATGATAGGATAAAGGAGGGACATTAAGAAATAAATTCCCCCTCACGACCCTCGCTGAGCTCACGGCTCAGTCCCTACATATTTATGCCGCGTTTCCAGCCGCTGGGTGAGGAGCTACTTAGCGCCGCGGCTCCTCCGAGGGGCGGCCGGGCAGCGAGCAGCGGCCGAGCGGACGGGGTGAGCCAGGGGCGCGCGCGGGGCGCCCAGCACTGCGCCGGGGAAGCCCGCAGCCTCCGTCCCGAACTTGGGTTCGCTGAGGCTGAGGGAGGGGACGCAAGGGGAGGGAAGAAGAGAAGGGAGGAGTGGGGGCTAGGGGAGAGGGGGTGGGGAGGGATCTTGGAGGCACAAAGCGGAGGGGAAGGGGAGGGACGCGCGCGGCTCCTACCAGGAGGCGAGTGGGTGCAACCGGCGCCCTCCAGCCGCGCGGGGCGGCGGACTCGGAGGATTCAGAACCCGGAGCGCGGCGGCCGCGGGCGCCCGGGAGGAAGAGGAGGAGTACGAGGCGGGCGGGCGGGTGCGCAGCGCGAAGAGGCAGCCTCGGCGCTGCCCGGCTCGGCGTCAGGTGAGTTCCTGATCCAGGCGTCCCGCGCCCCTTCTCCGTCCCCAGGGCTCCCCGCTCCCGCCCGAGCCCCTGGTGTGCGCGGAAGGCTCGGGCTTTGCTGCGCGTCCCAACTTGGTTCGGGCGGCCTCATTTTCCTCCTAGCGGGCGGCCTCAGGCCGGGGGCTCCGGTCCGGGGGTCTACGCGCCCAGGCTCCAACTTTGCAAGACCCTAGTCGTTCCTCAGCCGCGCGCTTGGCTCCGAGCTGTGCGCTGGCGGTAATGGCGGAGCCCTTGGCACAGCTCGCTACCCTCCCGCGGGCAGCCCGGGCTGGGGGATGCCAGTCCCTGGGGACCGTTGTACCTGCCCAAGCTCAACTTTACGCCTTCCTCGGTGCCCGACTCTGCGGCCGAATCGCAACTGCGAGCCGCAGGTAATGGCGGAGTCTTTGGCACTGCCAGCTGTCCGCGGCTGGGGGCCCGAGGCTGGGAGGGCTCCGCTCCCGGAACATCGCTCCGGCCTGGCCTCCAACTTTGCGAGGAGCCTCCTTGCGCTCTCCTCCCGCGGTCATGGCGGGGCCGCCCGCACCTCTCACTTCTTCCGTCTGGGCGAGATTGGGGTGTAAGAGCGCCGTCTCCAAAACCTGGGAAAGTTGTGCTTCTCCCGCAAAGGAGGCTCTAGGGAGGCCGAGGGGCGCGTTCCGCCACGGTTCGGGGCTGGGCAGTGGAAGGAGCGCTCGATGAGGTTGCTTCCAGGTGGCCAGGGTTCGGAGCAGGGTCCCCGGGGGATCCAACTTCCAGGGCCACTCAGGGGCCTTGCGTCCGAGGTCCCGGAAGGGGCTCTCTCGGGACTGCGCCCCAGAGGACGCCAGACGCTCGCCCCCACCCCCAGGGCACTGTGACCAGAGAGCTCATGGCTCTCCAAGCTCCGCATCAGGCTGTCTGGGGTAGACATCTAGAGAGGAGAGGCTCTCACGGAGAAGGCAGCCGAGGAGGGCAGGAACCTTTCCAGTGACTCCCCTGGGTTCTGGTCCTAGATCGACCCTTTACTTGTTGCGTGACCTTCGGTAAGTCTCTTCATCTTTCCCAGCCTCAGTTTCTCATCTGTAAAATGGAGAAACTACCTTTTTCGTGGGGCTGTCATGAGGACCTTAAAAAATCATAAATGTGAATATGAAGTCAGGGTAAGCGTTCATAACGCAGGAAGTGTTGCTGATATATATATATATATATATATATATATATATATATATATATATATATATATATATATAAAACCATTATTGTAATGCTCTGGGACCGGATCTGGGAGACTCGCACGCAGGTCTAGGGTTTCCCCACCAGTAGGAACCGGGGGGTCTACCCCACAGGGTACTACAGGCTGCGGAAGATTGCTCTCGCCTCCATCTCTACCCCAGTAATCCTGGGAAAGACGCATGGGATTCTTCCCTCTACTCCCATAGCCCAGCTCAAACCCTGCGCTCAGGCCTAAGAAAAGCGCGCACGCAGCCACCACGGAGGGAGGGTCCCCAGGGACGCCGCTAGGCAAGGGTGCGGTGCAGGCGAGCGCGCCCATAGGCGCCTCATCTCACCTCTGGCGGCCCACGACATTGGGAGACAGCAGAAAGGAGACCCCAGACCTCTCCTCCCGAGAGGAATGAGGGAAAATTGCTGCCTTTCTTTAGTGCTTCTCTAATTGGGGTCGGGGCAAACGCAAGAAATTCGTAAACACCAGGGAACACTGACGCAGCTCTCTGGAGCATAGATTTTTTCCCCCGTTATTTTTTCAGAACTGAAGATAAAATAGGAAAAGGGCTCTTGTGGCAGCTCCCCAAGTGCGCAGGGGTCGCGTCCATTCTCCGCCCTCAAGGCATCTCAGCGGATGGTTTGAGAAGCCTCGGCAGGTCCCTGAAGGAGGGGGTGTCCGCCCCACCAGCACCGCCACGGCGGGCCCCGGCCCCTTTCCACTAGTCTGGATTTCAGAAGCGCCCTGAGGGGCGCACGGCTCTGCCACTGACAGCTCCAAGGCACTGTCACACGTATTATTCACCTGGAGCCTCTTAACTTTCAGGTTGCCAGTGCAGCCATCTGAATTCCATTTTGCAGCTGCGGAAATTGAGGTGGGGCAAACCAAACTACCTAGCCATAGTCACCTAGCTGGTAAGTGGCACTACCCGAGACCTCAACCCCAATTTTCGGCTTCTTAATTGGGGCATTTTGCATGCATCTGGGCATCTACGCAGTCTGGCATGTGCCTGAACCTTAGCACACACAGCTGTATTTCCTGATACATCTGTTCAGCCAGAGGCCAACGCTATGGTCAGGGGCATGGCTTTGTCTCCACAAATTGTGTGATTTTTTTCCCCAAAGTCCCAAATCATGTAGAGAAAGAGTGAGCAGTGTGGTAGAGAGACCTGGTGAAGACCTCAGCTTGAGGCCAAGCTTAGCTCACTCCATGGCTGTGTGACCTCAGGTTGATCACTTAACCTTTCTGAGCTTCAGTTCTGTTATCTGTAAAATGAGAACAGTAACTCCCACACGGGGCTGTTTTGAAGACTCTGTGATGATGTATGTGAAAGGGGTTCTGGAAACAATGCTGGTATGCCAAGACTGGTGATTGTAAGGAAGGAAGGGAACCCGAAACAGAGGGAAGAGTGTCCCATGGAGCCATTTGGGGCCAATAGTGTCATCGTGGCTTTCAGAGCAGCCCGCTTTTTGCCCTTTCTGTCTCCTCTTTATATTTCCCAAATGGCCAAAGCCAGTCCCCAGGAGCCTCCATCTTCCTTGGGGAAGGACCGCACGGAGAAGAGTGAGAGGGCGGGGGTATTGTGATGGGTTAGGCTGCTCCCAGTGGGTCTCTGTGAGTAAGATGCAAAGAGTTGTCCGAGGTACCATTCAGTCAGTTGTCCAGAAACTTCCCCACTGGGGGGCCGCTGATTTCCCAGGAGGCAGGAAGATTTGGAGGTCAATTCGCCTGCATATTGTGAGCACAGACAGGTTTGGCTGTGCCTGTTGCGCTCACAATCTGCAGATGTTTTGGGGTGTCTTATGACAAGACTTCATGTGTTGCCTGTCACTCAGGTTCTGTGGGTCTGTGCGGGGCTTGGAATGTGGTTAAGAGCCACAGGCAACAATCCGTGCTCGTGAGAACTGGGGCTTTTTCCCATTAGAAACTGGAATTTGTGGAAGTTGAATTTGGCATTTCAGGACCCATTTTAATCTGGATTGTTTGAACAGAGGGGCATGTTTCCTGCCATGGATCAGTGTGGGTTTGTGTAGTTAACACCACATAGGTTACAGACATGACCATTTTCCTCGTTCTAATATATGATAACATTTAAACATCATCTAATCCAGCGAACGCCAAACATCAGCCCAGTGGACCTTTAGTGTCAGAATACAGCAAGTCCCTGGTTAAAAGCAAAGATGCCAGACCCCACCCTAAATCTACCGAATCAGCATTCCTGGGGGAGACTGGAAATATCTCTATTTTTAACAAGGTTGCTCCAGGAGATTCTAATACTCTCAGTTCTTGTCTGTCACCCTCGTTGTACAAATTGGGAAACTGAGGCCCAGAAGAGGCATGTGACTCGATGAAAGTCACACAGCACATTACTGCCAAAGCTGGGATAGAACCTCAGTGTCTTGACTTATTGTCCAATCCTCATCGATGATAACTTCATGTTTCCTTCAGTACAAGCCCCGTAAATGCCGGACTTTAAAGAAATTTAATTTCATCTTTCTGGTTGTTATTCTAAATTAGACCAACTGCTCAGAGGAGACTGAAAATAATTCCTCCCACCTTGACCTTGCTGGGTGTCAGCCCTGAGTTCCCATCTAATCTTGGACATTAGCCCCACTATTTGATCTCTCCCTTTCAGAGGGAAGGGGCTTCGACCTCCTGGGCTCAAATGATCATCTCTCCTCAGCCTCCCGAGTAGCTGGGACTACAGGCCTGTGCCACCACACCAGGCTAATTTTTGTATTTTTTGTAGAGACGGGGTTTTGTCATGCTGCCCAGGCCAGACTCAAACTCCTGGGCTCAAGCCATCTGCCTGCCTTGGCCTCCTTAAGTCCTGGGATTGCAGGTGTGAGCCACCACGCCAGGCCTAGAAAAATTCCTTTTATAAGTGACCTATCAGGTATAACTTCTGCAAAGAAGTAATCACAGAGCTAATAAACCCAGTTTAACTACCACTGATTTCACCAAAGCCATTGGTTTGAGTTCATTTCCACAGCCCATCGGCCTTCCACTCAGCCTTTGCAAGTGTGTTTATGTTGCTCACATGCCCATTCTTAAGGTGGAAGAATGATGAGCAGCACCTGGCAATGCTGGAAAATTGAGCCCATTCGAATCTTTTAAATGAAAATGACGTGTCAACAGAAAGTGCCCCTAAGTCTCTAATTCAAGTATGGTTAACAGGGTATAGTGGACATGGGTCTTGGCACAGTCGTATGATGCTAAGGATGAACAGCAGTTATCGTGGGCTGTTCGGCAGCAGACGTCAGCACATTTATTGTATGTGTCATGACACGTGTTAAATGGCAAGGCCAGTGCTAGACCCCAAGGGCAGGTGCCCAGATAAAGGTGGTGTGAGCCCCATTCTAATGAAACCTGTAGTCTGGCTAAGCGGTGAGCACCAGACAAACCCTGTACCTGGCGTGAAGTTTCTGCAAGAGAGGTGGAGGTGAGGTGCTGTGGTAGGACCCAGGACAGGTGGTTGAAGGAATCAGGGAGGACTTCTCAGAGGAGGTAGCATCAAAGCCCATAGCCTGATTTGTGGCACCCTCTCAGGGTTGGGGTCCCCAGTGCCAAACTGGGCCAGCAGCAGCCAGGTTGAAAGGGAGGGCCTCACACTGAGAATCATCTTAGGAAACGTCAGAGGCCAGCTTGGGCACTTGTGGATTCTGTGACTCAGAGTGAGAGAATTAACATCTCTGACTCTCCAGCATGTCATTCATACAGCAGAGATTATAAGTACTACAGGGAGTTGTTAGGAGGATTTAATGGGATAGTGTGTGTGTTTAACTCTGGAAAGGAAACAGCATCCAGCCCATCTCAGTGATCATAACAAAGAAAAGAAATTTTAAAAAGAGCCAGCCAGACACAGTGGCTCACGCCTGTAATCCCAACACTTTGGGAGACTGAGGCAGGAGGATTGTTTGAGCTCAGCGTTTGAGCCCAGCCTGGGAAACAGAGTGAGACTCCATCTCTACAAAAAAATTAGCCAGGTGTGGTGGCGTGCACCTGTGGTCCCAGCTGCTCAGCAGGCTGAGGTGGGAGGATAGCTTGAGCCCAGGATGCGGAGGTTGCAGTGAGCCGAGATTGTGCCGCTGCACTCCATCCTGGGTAACAGAGCCAGAACCTGTCTCGAAAATACATAAATTAATTCATTAATTAATTTTTTTAAATAAAAAAGAGTTAGCCAGTTGGTGTAGTCTGAGCCCCTTTCTCTTGCTCAGCCTCTGTTTTCTTATCTGTGAAATGGAGTTGGAACTAAAGGGCATCTCCCTTCAGAGACCTGCAGATATGTTCTGTTAGTCTGGCAGAGGGCTTTTTTTTGTTCTCTGTTTGTTTGGATTGGGGGCATTGTTTTGTTGGGTTTTGTTTGGAGAGTATTTTTTTTCCTTTAGGTCACCAGCCTCACCATTCAATATTGTTTAATTTGCTTGTCCGGGCCCTTCGAGGCATTTTAGTTTACAACCCCAGGACGCACTTCCCACAAAGACCTTTTCAGCTTTAACATCTTCTGCCTTACCTGAGAGCAACATTGGCCCAATTATCATCCATCAATTGCATTTATGATTTCTGCTGACATTTCCTAAGAGAAAGGTGGCCCTATTCAGGTGGAAAATACAGAAGTCCTTTGCAAGGGGCAAAGTTCCCATTTCCAGCCTGGGCATTTCCCACCTCTTATTTGTATGTCCTGTTACCTACTAAGACTGGGATTTCCTGGGAATGATGAGCCTTTTCTTTTTGACCATCCAAGATGCTTTGGGAGCCTACAGATTTTCAGAGGTGCCCTGAAAAGCATTTCAGCTTCTGCTGGGAACATTTGCCCACTGGCATTAAATAATACTCGAGAATCTCTTCTTTATTCAAAACCTGACAGCTAAATTTTGCTACCATGAGGATTAAAAAGGTGAGCCTTTCTGAAACCCATTTCCAGTTGGAAATGAAGAAGGAATATTGTGAATTCAAAAAGCTTACGCAACTTCAGATAGTATCCGTGTACAACCGTCGTTTCCCAGCTAAAGCATTTCTTGTCATAAACGAGAGTGAAGTTAACCACTTCTTCATTTAACAAACACAACCTGAGCTCCCAGCTCTGTGCCAGTCCCCACAAGAGAGGCTTCCTCATAAAGAAAGGGAAGACAGAGTCCCTACCCTCAAGGTAGCTCATGGTGTCCAAAACAGGCATCCACTCACCAATAACTAGATGTAGTGAGGTAAATGATGTGGGCAGTCCATCCTATTTAGTCACTAAAACAGCCACATGGATCACATTGGGCTCTATGTCATTTCCAGGAATTTTCAGCATAAAAAAAAAGTAACCTCCGGGGATAAATCAGAATAGTACTCGATAGCAACTGACATATTTTGGGCATATTTTTCTCTTTAATTTTTTTGAAGCAGTATCTCAGCTCTGGAATACTCAGTAAGAAAAATGAAAGCCAGTTATGTTCATGTGCCAGAAAACAGGTAATGAACACAGTCAATAGCATCGATGTGCTTGTTTGTTATAAGTCTTAGCTGGCAATACCTTCAGTTATCATTTTGCTTCTAATATCATGGTAGTCACTGAAATGGAATCTCTTTCTTTCTCCCAAAGCATGGTATAAAATAATGGGACTGGGTGGGTTTCTTGGCTTGATATTTTTATTGATTTTGATGATTTTTGTAACAAACATGCCAAACTCATATACGTAGATAAATATTTTCGCTTCCAGCTGCCGGCAAGGTGTAGGATTTCTTGAGGGTCCCTTCTTCAAGACTTGCCTTCAGAAAGCATGATATCTCTTTCTGAATCTCCCTACTAGTGATATCTTATTGGGCTTTTGAGGATGCAGTTGAATTTCAGAAACAGCAAGAAGTCATTGAGAGCCACATATTTTTTTGGCTAAAATGGGTGATGACCTTGGATGAAATGCAGAGATTTGGTTTTTGTTTGTTTGTTTCATTGGTTTTTTCATTGTTGTTTTGTTTTGCTTTTGTAGAGGTGGATTCTCACCATGTTGCCCAGGCTGGTCTTGAACTCCTGGGCTCAAATGATCCTCCTGCCTCAGCGTCCCAAAGTGCTGGGATTACAGGCCTGAGCCCAGCCCAAAATGTGGAGATTTAGTTTTCGTTTAGAGGAGGGCTATTTTAAAAAAACAATATGGTGTGATCAGGATTCCCTATCTGGTTCAAAACTGACATCTAAGTCAAGCATTGTGCCCCATGTACTTCATCTTGTGACTCTGATGATGGGAACCAGCCTACATGATGCTAAAACCCTTCCTTCGCAAGAACCCTTGACACCTATTTCTGGGAAACAGCTTGTCTGCTTCTCTCTCCTAACCAACAGGGATGAGACTTATGACTTGAATTGTCATTGTTTAGAAAACAACCTTAACTGAGTATTTGGGGAAGTTGTGCAAGTACAGTATATAGTTAATTTTCTTAGGTGTAATAATGGTACTGTGGGTTTTGTGGGAGTCTGTCTCTACGCTGAAGATAAGTGTGCTTAAGAATTTAGAGCTGAGACATCATGATTCTGCAACTTGTTCTAAAATGGTTCATTGTGAAGATAGGTAAGTAGGTAGGTAGATAATAGATGGAGAGGTAGGTAGGTAGATAGATGATAGATAGACAGATAGATAGATAATAGCTAGAGGATAGAATAGGTAGGTAGATAGATGATTGATAGATGGGTAGATAGATAGATGAATAGATAGATAACAGATGATAGGTAGGTAGATAGATTGGTAGGTAGATAGATGGATAGACAGATGATAGGTATATAGGTAGGTAGATAGATAGGTACATGAATGGATGGATGGATAGATAGCTAGGTAGGTAGATAGGTAAGTAGGTAGATAGGTAGGTAGGTGGGTGGATGGATGGATGGATGGATAGATGGATGGATGGATGGATAGATAGATGACTGATAGAGAAAGACAAGTAGGTAGATATGAAAATGCTAATAGCTGTTGAATTAAGTTGAAAGTTTATGGGTGTTTTTACACCATTCTTTTACATTTTCTGTTTAAATACTTTATCATAAAGTTGGGAGGCAAGAATGGCTTTCAACTTTCCTCCATGTTAAATTTTTCCAAGTTTCTTTGGAGAATAATATTTAGCCTTCTCGTTTCTATCCCCTCACCTCCCACACACGAATACATGTGCACATGCATATACGCACACTCATGAACACACACATCTCTCTCTCTCTCCCTCTTTTTTCCTGGAAGAAATAATCCTGCAGTTTAGCAGAATGTCACTGTTTTTCATGGCAGTTTCTCTTTACATTTTTCCCTCAGCATTTTAATTAGGGCTGTGAGTCACCATGCTTTATGAAGGCTGGTGACAATGTCATTTACGGCTGTTTAGCATCCCAATCGAGCCCTCTTTGGCGGTGCTCATTACATCAGGGGCATTGAGCAGTGAGCAGGCGACAGTTCCCTCTGTCAGCAACAGAACAGGCTCAGGGCCTCTTGAGGGACTGAGAAATGAGCTTGAGGTTTGTTCCTGGAATAGCTTCCAAAGTTGGTTTTTCCGTGGCTGGCGGTATAGCCCAGGCGTGCCTGAATGCACTTGAGCTTGAGAGGGTTGTGCAGAACTGAAGCTCTGACCTCCTTCTCAGTGATAGCAAGCTTTCCCCCAGGCCCACGCCTCTTGCCTCCAGAGTGTTCAGTGCCATGACATCGGCTCTTGAACACTGTATTATGTATGCATGTATGTATGTATGTATGTATGTATGTATGTATGTATTTCTGAGACAGCGTCTTACTCTGTCACCCAGGCTGGAGTGCAGTGGCGTGATGATGGCTCACTGCAACCTCAACTTTCCTGGCTCAGGTGATCCTCCCACCTCAGCCTCCTGAGTAGCTGGGACTACAGGTGTGCACCACCACACCTGGCTAATTTTTTGTAGCGACGGGGTCTCACCATGTTGCCCAAGGTGGTTTCAAGTTCCTGGGCTCAAGCATTCCACCCACCTGGGCCTCCCAAAATGCTGGGATTACAGGCGTAAGCCACCATGCTCAGCAGGTTCTTGAACACTTTAGACCCCTCTGGATGATGGAGAAGAGGCAGGATTCTGAAGCCCATCAAAGCTGGGTTCAAATCCAACCACTGCCATTTATTCACTCTGTAACCTTGGCAAGTTATTTAATCTCTCTGTAAATCTCATTTTCCTCTTCTGTAAACACAGGAATAATTCTACTTCACTGCATTATTGAGACCATTAAATGCTTGGCACATGCAGCTACTCCATCAGTTTCTTGGCAAGGTTGAGGTTGGTGATTAGGATGACTTGGCTTAGACATGTCATGCCCTTGACTATCCAGGTTCCTTCTGATATTCCTCATCCCTCCTCCCAAGGGGCAATGGAGGTGAAGATTTGTCAGTCAGGGTCTAAGCAGGAAACAGAAGGCACCTGCAGCTGGGATTTCCAAGTAATTTAATTAAGGAGCAGCTTATGGACACAGGTTAAGGCACCAACAAAGGGGTGCTTAAGTACTCAGGGACTAGCAACCAGGGCAGCAGTTGCCACTCCAGGCCTGAAGGAGCAGGGGGAAGCGACAGTGTTACCGAAGCCCTTTGGGTGGTGGAATGGAGTGGGGGTGCTGGCGAAGGGAAGGGTCCCTGTAGAAGCTATACTCAGAAGGGAATGCAGACCCTGCCAGACTACAGCACTAAGAGAGGGAGAGAGCAGAGAAAGAAATACCCTGGCTTCTCGGCTTCTCCCTCATCTCCTGTCTCCACATCCCATTGGCCAAACCCAATCAGATGCCAGAGGGCAAGAGACTTTTTTTTTTCTTCTTCTTCTTTTGAGACGGAGTCTTGCTCTGTCGCCCAGGCTGGAGTGCAGTGGCGCGATCTCGGCTCACTGCAAGCTCCGCCTCCCGGGTTCACGCCATTCTCCTGCATCAGCCTCCTGGGTAGCTGGGACTACAGGCGCCCGCCAACAGGCCCGGCTAATTTTTTTGTATTTTTAGTAGAGACGGGGTTTCACCGTGTTAGCCAGTATGGTCCCCATCTCCTGACCTCGTGATCCGCCCGCCTCGGCCTCCCAAAGGGCTGGGATTACAGGCTTGAGCCACCGCACCCGGCCAAGAGACCTTTTGATGTCCATAGAGGTCAGCCTCTTCGGGAGCCCAGATAAGTTTGGAGAATGAATCTGGGGGCAAAGGATGACAACTAGCACAGATGGGGGGAAAGAGGAAGAGTTCACCAATAATGGTGAGTAAGACCAATCCCAGTTCATCAGCTCTGAGCAAAAAGAAGTTTCCCTGAGTTGGGACATCCTGGAATGTCTCCATTTTGCTTCCTGGATCCAGGACATGCTGGTGTGTCTTCAGTTTTCTGTAGGGTCCTTATGAAATCCTTAAAATAAATCAGGCATTTGCTTTCATTTCAAACACACAAGGTACTTTGAGAAAATGGGAGTGGGTACTATAAAATCAAGTGAACAGTTCCAGGGCATTGCAACTTAGCCTGCAAATTGTAGGGTGGAGTCCTAAATAAAGCACCCAGTTAATTGAGGAGGTGTGACTCATTGAATAATCTGTTGAAATAGCTTTGGTGTGCAGTCAACAGGTAACTAGTAAGTGCCTGTTGAATGCCCACTCTGCATTGTCCGTGAGCACGTCACACATCGTCCCATGGCAATGGCGTGCTGTGCCCTGCTAGCCAGGAATGCAAGTCTTATCAAAGCACAAAAGGTTCATAGATTTCAAAGCAAGGTTTTCTAATGATAGCATCTCAGGAATCCTGAGATTTTACTGCTGACTTCCAAGGAGAGTTGTAGATTAAACTTGGAGAAACTTTCTTGGTGGAAATGACAATGATACTGTAGAAAAAAACTCTGAAGTGGGAGCTGAGAGTCTGTGTGTCTCTGGCAGTAATAATAACACCAGCCGGCCAGGCATGGTGGCTCACACCTGTAAACCCAGCACTTTGGGAGGTTGAGGAGGGAGGATTGCTTGAGCTCAGGAGTTCAAGACCAGCCTAAGCAATGTAGCAAGACCCCAATCTCTACAAAAAAAATAAAAAATTAACCAAGTGTGGTGGCTCGTGCCTGTAGTCCCAGCTATTCAGAAGGCTGAGGCAGGGGTATCCTTGAGCCCAGGAGTTCGAGACTGCAGTTAGCTATGATCACACCACTGCACTCCAGCCTGGGCAACACAACAAGACCCAGTCTCAAAATAATGAATAATAACACCAGCCAATGTTCTTCATGTACTTGCTACAGACTAGGTACCATGCTAAGCCCTGGGCCTGTATAAGCACAGGTTTCCAAAATATGGTGGATACTCCACTGGTGGGACCCATTTTTTATTGTTTTATTTCATTGAGGTAAAATTCATGTAATATAAAATTAACCATTTTAGAGTAGCATTTGTGTTGTGTGATCATTGCCTCTATCTAGTTCCAAAACATCTCCATTACCCCACAAGGGAACCTTGTACTTCTTAAGAATTGAAAAGAAGTATTCAAACAAAAACTTTCCCATGTGTGTTCATAGCACTATTCACGATAGCCAAAGGGTGGAAACAACCCAGATGTCTGTCAATGGACGAGTGGATAAACTAAAAGTGGCTTATCCATCTATCTAATGGAATATTACTCAGCCACTAAAAGAAATGAAGTGCTGATCTATGCTGTAACATGGATGAACCTCAAAAGCGTGATGCTGAGTGAAAGAAGCCAGACTCAAAAAGCCTCATCTTGTAGGATTTCATTTATATGCAGTATCCAGAATAGACAAATCCACGGAGGCAGAAAGCAGATTAGTGGTTGCCAGGGGGCGAGGAGAAGGGAAAAGGAACAACCACTTTACTGATACTCATTTTTTGAAAAACTTTTATTTTGAAGTAATTTTAGATTCACGGAAAAGTTGCAATATGGTACAACGAGTTTCTTTATACCCTGACCTAGTTTCCCCAATGTTAATATCGTACATAACCATAATCTAATTATCAAGAACAGAAGATTGACAATGGCATGATATTAACTAAACGACAGACCCTATTCGAATTGCACCACTTTCTCCGCTACTGTGCTGTTTCGGTTCCAGGATCCCACATTGCTTTCGGCGCTGATTTCTCTCTGCCTCCTCTGATCTGTGACAGTTTGTCAGTCTTTCCTTGTCTCCCACGGGCTTGACACCTTTGAAGATGACTGGTCAGTTACAGTGCCACTTTGTGTGAATTTGTTCCATGTGTTTTCATGATTAGATCAAGGAGCCATTTTTTAAAAAATTTACTCATTAAATATTTGTTTTGATAGATCATAGAAAAAAGCAGTTAGCAAATTTATACGACGATTTCGTGGATATTAGCTTTTAGGATGAGGCTATAGTATCTAAGATAGAAAGTGAGTTCATTGTAAGGGAAAATATTAAATAAATAATTGCATAGGTGAGACACAGGTATGGTGCAAAGATATGATGTTGGTAAGAGCAGCATGGGAAACATGACGTTACTTCATGGAATCTTCACAAGAGTCTTGCAAAGTAGATTCAGGACTATTGTTTTTTGCCATTTTATAGATGAAGAAACGGAGGCACCAAGATGCTGAAGCCCTTGACCGAGTCACGTGTCAGTAAATGACAGAATCAGGATTTGAATCCCATGCCTGTGATCCTGAACCATGACATTCCCCTTTAACCCTTCCTTCCAACCTCTGCGACATCAGCTTATAGACTGTTGAAGGTGACACCGTTCTCTTCTGTGATTTTTATTTCAGGGGTTATTTGCAGAGCTCTGTTCAGTAAAGCTGACTCAGGTGGGGATGTGTCCCGCAGTGTCGAGGTAGGGTGTCCTCCAGGGGCTTCCCAGGTGTGCTGGTGCAACACGAGATAAAGACCAAGCCAGTTCAGGTAACCCCCAGGTAGAGTCACTAAAAAAAAAAAAAAAAAAAAAAATGTAGGGGATCTGGGACTGAATCTTCCCTTGGAATGGAGGAAGGAAGTTGCATTCCACTCAGCTCCTGTTAGAATGAGTATGCAAGGACTGGTTTGACATCAAAAGAGAAAGCCCAATTTAGACAGAAAGGTGTCACTCCAGGAAGGGCTTTGGTGCACACCCAAAGTGAAAGAAGAAACAGATTCAGACTTCAAGATGATCGTGCAAAGTGCTGCGTCACTCTCAGTAGATTTAACCCAGGGAGAACAAGGTCAGTGTTGAGTATCAGCCCCAGGGCACAAGCTGGGGTGGATGCTGTGATCTCATGCGGAGGTGGGGATCCCATCAAACACCTGGATCGACTGGAACCACCCAGGACAAGACCCAAGTCACTGAGCATGCTGTCCCTTCATTGAGTAGCTTCTGAAGGTGACCTTCCTTGTTGCCCTTTAAAACTCACTCACTAGCAGGGGTCCCACAGTCAAAGGCCTATAGTGAAATACTTATTTGCAAGAAACAAATGAATGACGGGGGCCACAGGGTTTTGCAGGGGAACCAGAGAGCTCATGCCCCACCTAAAGGGGGAGGCGCCACCACCTACTCCAGCTGTTTGGAGTGTGCTCAGGAACACAGGCCCAGTGTAAACATATCTTCCATGGCTCCAAGAAAGCCAGAAATTTCTATCTTTGATGAAACCTCCAGTTTTTTGTTTGTTTGTTTATTTTTCTTTTTTTTTTTTTCCTTGTTTTGAGACAGGGTCACACTCTCTTTCACCCAGTCTGGAGTGCAGTGGCGCGATCTTGGCTCACTGCAACCTCCGCCTCCCAGGTTCAAGCAATTCTTCTGCCTCAGACTCCCAAGCAGCTGGGACTACAGGTGTGCACCACCACACCCAGCTAATTTTTGTATTTTTAGTAGAGACAGGGTTTTACCATCTTGGCCAGGCTCGTCTTCAACTTCTGACCTCAAGTGATCCACCTTCCTTGGCCTCCCAAAGTGCTGGGATTACAGGTGTGAGCCACCATGCCCGGCCTGAAACCTCCAGTTTTTAAATGGTGATAACAAATTTGGGGGAAAAAATTTAACTGTATTAACCAAACGCAATTCATTTGTATACCTATGGGCTGTCTTTGATAGAATCTGACCAGAGCCTGATTGAAGAATGTGATATCCTGGATCTGAAGCATTTTTTGTGCAGAACAGGTGATAGTTTGAGTTGAAGTTGAAATTTCCTTTAAAATGGCCATTTGTGTAGGTCACAAAAAGTCACACGGGGCTTTAGAAGCAAACCGTACCAGTGTTTCTCAAACTCCAGTGTGCACATAAATCCACTGGGGGATCTTCCTAAAATGCAGAGCCTGAGTCATAGGTCTGGGCTGGGCCTTGGGATTCTGCATTGCTGACATGCTCCCAGGTGATGCTGCTGGTGCTGGTGCATGGACCACGCTTTGGGTAGCAAAGCATTAGACCATGTTCATCGCTGGTGGTTTTGCAAACTCCATTAAGACCCACCCCACATTGTCGTTCCTTTTTCTGAATCCAAGTTTTGTTTTTGTTTTTGTTTTCTGAGACAGAGTCTCGCTCTGTGGTCCAGGCTGGAGTGCAGTGGTGTGATCGTGGCTCACTACAACCTCAGCCTCCCGGGTTAAAGCCATTCTCCTGCCTCAGCCTCCTGAGTAACTGGGATTACATGCACGTGCCACCACGCCTGGCTAATTTTTGTATTTTTAGTAGAGACGGGGTTTCACCATGTTGGCCAGACTGGTCTCAAACTCCTGGTCTCAGGTGATCCGCTCGCCTCAGCCTCCCAAAGTGCTGGGATTACAGGCGTGAGCCACGGCACCTGGCCTGAATCCAAGTTTTGTTAACCAAGTGTCTGAAGTCTCATTCATTCACTCATTTGTAATGGGCCATGCCATCACCTCCCTGCAGCTGCTTTCAGGAAGTGAAGTGAGACCAGTCTTGGCTTTCTGCATGGCAACCACTGGCTGGAACTGCTCTCCAAACACGGCATGGGCCCTCCAGTTCTCTACAGTCCCCACTGCTCCCTCTCACCTCTCACAGGGCTGCTTCATTCAATAGCTGTAGACTTAGAGATTGAGACCCTGATTCACTGAGTACCTATTATGTGCCAAGTCCTGTGCTATGCACAGGTGGTTGTTTTTTTGTTTGTTTGTTTGAGACAAGGTCTTGCTTTTTCACCCAGGCTAGAGTCCAGTGGCACAATAATGGCTCACTGCAGCCTCGACCTCCTGGGCTCAATAATCCTCCTGCCTTAACCTCCCAAAGTGTTGGGATTACAGGCATGAGCCACTGAGCCCAGCCCTAAGTGTTAATTGATAAAAGCTGAGTAAATGAAGGAATTGTAGCAGACGTCTCTGATACCATAATCATTATTTTTATTTGATTTTTTATTTGAAAAAGTACATTATCATCTATGGTTCCCTTACAGCACTAAATATATATTTTAAGCTTCTTATCCTAATTATGAAATTGATTGTTTAAACATTTACTTTGACAAGTGACTAGAATCTGTTAGCCTTGTCCCCTCATCTCACTTGTAGTGGTATCTTCAGATACCCTGTTATCGATCCTCAGGAGGCGGATAATTTTTGGAGGTATTTCACCAGGAAGGGAGGTGAGCCAATATTTGACTGTTGGGCAATAATTTAAATTGTTAAGTTCCAGCATAACAAGACAGAAAGAGCATCTTGCAGCCGGGCGCGGTGGCTCACGCCTGTAATCCCAGCACTTTGGGAGGCCGAGGCAGACGGATCACATGAGGTCAGGGGTTTGAGACCAGCCTGGCCAACACGGCAAAATCCCATCTCCACTAAAAATATAAAAATTAGCTGGCAGGCGTCTATAGTCCCAGCTACTCAGGAGGCTGAGGCAGGAGAATTGCTTGAACCCAGGAGGCGGAGGTTGCAGTGAGCCGAGATTGTGCCACTGCACTCCAGCCTGGGCAACAGAGTGAGACACTGCCAAAAAAAAAAAAAAAAAAAAGCAAGAAAGCAACCAAGCAACCAAGCAAGCAAGCAAGAATTAATCATAATAGCCCGCGTTTGATCTTCGTTCTGACTCTGTTTCTAAGAATCTTAGGCAAGTCCTTTCCTGACTATGAGCCTGTAGCTCCTCATCTCCAAAATGTAATGTGAAACCAGTGACTTCTACCCTTGTTATTTATTGTGTAATGGAATACTTGGAAAATTGTATTAATGCCATGGCCTGTTTTCCCCATATAAATGCACGTATCACAAAAGTTGTGCACACAATTTCAGGATTTTCAGGGTTCCCTGAGCCCTGTAGGAGGTTTATAAAATCAATATTGTGAATTGGAGTAGAAAATCCCTAGCATCTCTTTCAACTTTCAATTACTAAAATTGTAGAATTGAGCTAAAAATATATAGCAGTACTTAGAACATTAGAAAAGCAAAGACGTTGAGTTCAGACAAACTTGACTTGAGTCCCCACCACTGACACTAGCTGCATAACCTATGACTTAATGTCTTTGAGCCTTGATTTTAACATCTATAAAATGGGAATTATAATGTCATGTCATGTTCATATCGTGTTGCAAGAATGAAAATGAGATCTTCCAATAAAGTGCTTACATATAAAAATGCTCAAAATATTAAGTTGAACTGTACGAAATTGAAAAAGTTGATCATTTGCAAAACTGTTAATTTCATATATTTCAACCTAATAAGTACTCAGTGTGAATAGTTGAGCGCTTATTCACCAAATACTTATTTCATGCTTACTAGGTGCTAACATATTCTAAGAAGAAAGTCAATTATATTGTGCAGATGAAAGCAGACCTGTGGTGCTTTAGCTCCATGTGGCCAGCAAATGTATACTAGGCTCAGGCCTGCCTTAATGAATATTTTCCCTCCTGTCCTTGGTACTAGTTTACACATTCATACTAAGGTAGGGCAACTGCAAATACATTTTATACAATTGAAGAGTCTTGATCTTTTACTCAAGTTTGACCCAATTGCATTTATTGTTATTACTGGTATATCTGACATATGTGGAATTATTTCTGCCATTGTAGTTTATGTTTTCTATTTAACATGTTTTCCCTTTACTGAAATTCATTTGTAACTGATTCAGGCCTATATGGATGTTGTGGATCTATGTAAAGGCAACTTTCGAGTGAAGGGAACAAATCTTATTACTGCTCTCTTAAAATAGTTATTCTTACTTCTTTTTTCTTCCCTGAGCACCTTTTGTCAGCCTTTTGACTCAGCTCCCCTACACCAGAAAGCACCCAAGGATGCCAGGCATGAGAGGAGAAATTTGATTGAGCCTCAAGTTAACACTGATGTGCAATTTGGAGAAAACAGTTATTATGTTCCCTGAAAAATAAACATTCAACATTGTCATTATAGTTGACATTTACAGTTTACAAAGTGCCCTTTACGGTGTCCATCTTGCTTAATCATTACGAAAGTCTTGGCAACTAGTTGTTATTACTGTTTCGATTTCACAAAAGGAAATTGAGAGTCAAAATGTTAAATGACTTATCCAAGATCAAATAGCTTATAAATGGCAAAGCTTGGAATTGAGCCAAATTGAGCATATTTTTTGTAGCTGAATTCTCAGAATTATGGAAATGACGTTATTAGGAAATGTTGATTCTTGCAATATACTAGACCACAACTAAATTATTACTATTCATGAAAGACAGTTCTATGAAATGAATTTCATTCATTCTTATTCTTTCTTTCACCCCCATTTTCCTTCCTTCCTTCCTTCCTCCCTCCCTCCCTCTCTTCCTTCCTTCCTTCCTTCTTTTTGACAGAGTCTTGCACTGTCACCCAGGCTGGTGTGCAATGGCACAATCGTAGTTAATTTTTTTTTTTTTGGTAGAGATGGGGGTCCTACTATATTACTCAGGCTGGTCTTGAACTCCTGGCCTCAAACAATCCTCTCGCCTCAGCCTCCCAAAGTGCTGGGATTACAGGCATCCAGCCCTTTCACCCTATTTTTACCCCATTGTTCAGGTTTCCCTCTCTCAGGAAATCCTTCACACTCCTTCTACTAGTGGAAGCCAGGAGCTGGGAGGTCACTGCAGACACCTCCTTCTCCGTTAGCTTCTGTATCCAATTAGTCACCAAATCTTGTTGACTCAATCTTGTAAACATCTCTTAAATCGACCCACTTCCTTCCTTCCTCCCTTTCACCACCTGATCCTTAACCACCATCATTGCTCATCTCTGGCCTGCAGCAGCCTCCTAACCAGGCTCCCCATACCCAGCCTTGCTTTTCCCACCCATTTGCCATCCAGCAGCAGCCAGAGTAATCTTCATAAAATCTAAATCTGACCACTGTACTTCTTGTCTCAAAACCCTCCAATGCTTGCCATCGCTCTAAGAATAAAGTCCAAAATTGTTAACTTGCCTTTCAAGAGACCTGATGATCCAGCCCCTGATGACCTCTCCAGATTTATCTCGTGACATGGCTTTCTTCTGTCACCCCAATGCCAGCTCCATCCTACCACAGTGCCTTCTCACACGCTGGTCTCTGTCCTCCATTTCTCACTTCCTCCATCCACCTTCTTATCTGGCCAACTCTGGATCCTGACTCTTCCTCCAGGAAGCCTTCCCTGACCACCACCACCCAGACCATGTTATGTCCCTTATGCAAGGTCTCGTTAGCACCCTGTATTTTCGCTTTTGTTCTACTCATTGTTTTTATCACTAATATTAATCTCCAACTACCTCCACCCTAGGTTGTAAGCTTGAGGGCAGGGATGCTGTCTATCTTATCCACCCCTGTAATCCCAATGCAAGCTCCACGCTGACTGCCCTGTCCTGGGGAGAGCTATGTATGAGTAGGCAAATGAATGGTTGGCATGAAGGAAAGAAAAGAAAAGATGAGAGGAGGCAAAGGAGAGAAAGAGGGAGGGAGGAAAAAAAAAGTAAAAGAGTATAATGTTGATGGGGGTTAGAAAATATGTGCCATCTTATTTTAATGATTGTTAAGAAAAGTTTCCGAGACCGCTGATAATATGTTTCCTTTTTATAGTAATGAGGCTGTCCTCTTGGCCATGATTATGTTTGCATATCTAGCCTGAAATGGTTCAATTATCTTGATGTGTAATCTAAAGTGACTCTAAAAATAATAGTCAACAGTACCACATGCTATAGATGAATTATCCCCTCTAATGCACTTCCATTTAAATTATCCCATGTGATTTATTGGTTTCCATCTTTAAGGCAGAAACCAGAATTGTTCCCACTTTACAGATGAGGAATCTGAGGCTAATAGGCAGCAGAGGTGGGTCACAAACCCTGGTTTTTCTAGCTCCAAATTCATGCCTTTGACCCCCACACAGCATTTACAGCAATGGGGCAGGTATGTAGGGGCAAGGGTGGGAGGCAGAAGTGCATCTGTGCCACTTTTGTGCTTTTGTGCCACTGAAGCGTCCATGGATAGAAGGAACTTAAGAACCTTAGCCCCAAACTCTGAAATTTTCTGTCATATGATGGATGGATATATTGGTCTCCCGTTGGCCGAACTAGCTCAAGTAAATGAGCTCTGCAAAACGAAGCTGAAATGAAGACTCTGTGATTCCCCAGATCTATTCTAACATCGGGATGACAGCCCTGCAGCTCTCTCCCTGTGATGAACCAGACCGTCCTCCTCATCCCGCCCTAGTGGTGTTGACTCACCACCAAGTTCTGGGGCCTCAGTGCTTCTGGATGCATCTTTCATGTGCCGTGTTCCGACAAACTGAATCCTGCTTTTGCAGCATTCCGAAAAGGAGCCAATGACAGTCATCGACTCCCATGGGAGACAGGACCAGTCCACGTGTCCGTACCTTTTACCTGGTCTTTCAACACAAAGTGCCTTAAGCAGCACATCCACCAGACACTACGGATGCTCAATAGAAAAATGACTGCTTACGTGATGATAATTAGTAATAGTGGTGGTAAAAGGATCCATTTCCTGGGCACTTACCTAGTCTATGGTGCATTGTAATAACATAGAAAACGTTAACTATTGGCTGGGCACAGTGGCTCATGTCTGTAATCCCAGCACTTTGGGAGGCCGAGGCAGGTGGATCACTTGAGGATAGGAGTTCGAGACCAGCCTGGCCAACATGGTGAAACCCCATCTCTACTAAAAATACAAAAAAAAAAAAAAAAAAAAAAATAGCCAGGTGTGATATCAGCTACTCAGGAGGCTGAGGCAGGAGGATCACTTGAACCTGGGAGGCAGAGGTTGCAGTAAGCCAAGATCACGCCACTGCACTCAGCCTGGGCAACAGAGCAAGATTACGTCTCAAAAAAGAATAAAAATAATAGAAATTTAAAAATTAAAATACAAAAATTAGCCAGGAGTGGTGGCGGGTGCCTGTAGTCCCAGCTACTCAGGAGGCTGAGGCAGGAGAATCACTTGAACCTGGGAGGCAGAGGTTGCAGCGAGCCGAGATTGCGCCACCACACTCCAGCCTGGGTGACAGAGTGAGACTCCGTCTCAAAATAAATACATAAATAAAAAAGGAGAAAACATTAACTATTATCTCTTTGTATCCTCAGACACCCTATCTATGTAGGCACTATTATCACCCCTATTTAATAGATGCAGAAACTATGACTCAGAGAGAGTAAGTAACTTGCCCACGATCACAAAGCCAAGTAGAGAATCAGACAGTCTGACTTCAAAGACCTTACTCTTTTCTTAAAATTGATGCAAAAAACATTGTTAAAAAATAATAATTTAGTCCAGGCACAGTGGTTCATGCTTATAAACTCTGCACTTTGGGAGGTCAAGGTGGAAGGATTGCTTGAGGCCGGGAGTTTGAGACCACCCTGAGCAACATAGTGAGACACCGTTTCTACAAAAAGTTAAAAAATTAGCCAGTCACGGTGGTGTGTGCTTGTAGTCCAGTTACTCAGGAGGCCAAAGCTTGAGGATAACTTGAGCCCAGGCCTTGGAGGTTGCAGTTAGCTGTTATTACACCACTGCCCTCCAGCCTGGGCAACAAAGCGAGACCCTGTCTCAAAAATAAATAAATAAAGAATAGCAATCTAATATGAAGGAATATACAATAAAAAGTAAGCTTCCTTCCCACCCAATTTCTAGCCTTCCAGCCCCCTTTCCTAGAAGTAACCACTGGTACTGATATCTTGAATAATTTTCCAGAGCTGTTCAGTGCATCTCCAAGCTTATGTGGAAACATGGATGAATGCATGATGAAGCTGTAGGATGGACTTATAATTATATTTCTAAATGGGTGTGCTCCACCTTGCTTTTAAATTTAACACTGTATCTTTAAGAGCATTCCTCACTGGTCTGGTCTTTTTAGCTCTAATCTCCTGCTTATTTAATGCCTGCCCAGAATTCCGTTGTATGGATGTGCCATAGTTGATTTAATAGTCTTCTATTGATGGGTACTTAAGATTTTCTCAATCTCTTGATATTCAGATATTCAGAACCCTGCAAAGAAGAGTTTTGTATGTGTTTAAGGATGTTCCTTTCAGGTTACCTGCAGGAGAAAGTCCTGACATTTGAATTGTCAGGCCAAGATATATGTATTTTAAATTTGGAGGTAGATATTGTCAAACTGCCATTCAAAGAGGTTGTATTTGGCAGCAATGTAAGAGAGTGGGATTTCCCAAAGCCTTGACAACAGAGTGTGTGTCACATTTTAAACAATCATTAATGCTCGTGCTTGTAACTCTAAGCTGAGCCTGTTACTACCTCTGAGATATGGGCATCAGAGGTGGGAAGATTGACATCATCATAGGCAAACTGTAGCCATGAAACTGGGGGAATTCCGTGGCTGAGGAGACTCAGGATGCTTGTGTCTTTGGGATCCCCAAGGCAAAGAATGTCAACTTAACCCCCAGATTTGTGGGGACTTGTGGGTTTGCCGCCATGACTTACCGGCATGGGAGAAAGCACTTCAGCTTGATTCCTGGGTGGTGATCTCTCTGGGGAAAGACTGCAAATTAGCAGTTCAGGAAATGTAAAGAAGCTGGTGGTTTTGCATTTTTTAAAAGAGCGCAGTTGGGTTTACGCTTTCAGTCTTTTGTTTGTGTTGGGGGTGGCAGTATTTTGTTTTGTTTTTGAAGACTTGGAGGACTTGGAGTTTGTTTTTAAATGAGATTGGAGGGAGATGGGAAACAGGGCTGAAACTCCATCAGATATTTTGTGGGTGTATAAACTGAAAAGAGTCAAGACTTCACAGGCAGGCTGGGTTTTGTTTTCTTTGATATTATTCATGTAAAACCATTGATATCCGTTTCCTCCAGAATAACCTTTACATTTACATATACAGAACTGACTTGCTTGCACCTTAATGGTATACCTTGGAGTTCATTTCTTATTTGCAGATAGAGATCTGCCTCATTGTCTTTAATGACACATTTATTGTACAGATGAGTTAGATTTTTTTAATTTTATTATTATTATACTTTAAGTTTTAGGGTACATGTGCACAATGTGCAGGTTAGTTACATATGTATACATGTGCCATGCTGGTGTGCCGCACCCATTAACTCGTCATTTAGCATTAGGTATATCTCCTAATGCTATCCCTCCCCCCACCCCACAACAGTCCCCAGAGTGTGATGTTCCCCTTCCTGTGTCCATGTGTTCTCATTGTTCAGTTCCCGCCTATGAAACAGGGTCTTGTTCTGTCACCCAGGCTGGAATGCAGTGGTGCTATCTTGGCTCACGGTAGCCTCAACCTCCCAGGCTCAATTGATCCTCCCACCTCAGTCTCCAGAATAGCTGGGACTACAGGCATGTGTCACCATGCCTAATTTTTATTTTGTTTTGTTTTGTTTTTTTTTGTTTTGTTTGAGACAGAGTCTCACTCTGTCGCCCAGGCTGGAGTGCAGTGGCGCAATCTCGCCTCACTGCAACCTCCGCCTCCCAGGTTCAAGTCATTCTCCTGCCTCAGCCTCCTGATCAGCTGGGATCACAGGTGCCTGCCACCACACCCAGCTAACTTTTTTGTATTTTTAGTAGATATGGGGTTTCACCATGTTGGCCAGGCTGGTCTTGAACTCCTGACCTCAAGTGATCCACCTGCCTCGGCCTCCCAAAGTGTTGGGATTACAGGTGTGAGCCACCGCGCCTGTCCAAATTTTTGTGTTTTTTGTAGAAATGGGATATCACTATGTTGCACAGGCTGATTTCAAGCTCCTGGCCTCAAGCAATCTGCCTGCCTCAGCCTCCCAATGTGCTGGGATGACAGCCCTGGGTTAGATTTTAACTGACACTTGGAAGCAAGATTTTGGATACTGGACTATTAGCCCAGGGGACATTCTACTATGACCTCTCTATTCATATGGTTCTGGGTGGATTTTCTCTCTTTCCATGCTACCCCCACCATGCCTATTCCCAGAGGTCAGTTTCAAAAGGTGACGTGATATTTGCAAACCCTCTTTGTCATTTTTCTGGTTTCTTTAAAAGGGAAAACTTTAAGAAGTGTCTTCTGCCTGGCTGTTACCAGTAGGTTCTTGAGGAGATCCAGGGATGGTAGGCTACAGAAAGAACAACGGTCACACTCTAGACCCATGCTGCCCAATGGCAATATAATGCAAGCCATGTGTGTAATGTTGGGCTTTATAAGTCACATTAAAAAGAGTAAAAAGCGCGGCCGGGCACGGTGGCTCAAGCCTGTAATCCCAGCACTTTGGGAGGCCAAGGCAGGCGGATCACAAGGTCAGGAGCTCGAGACCATCCTGGCTAACATGGTGAAACCCCATCTCTACTAAAAATACAAAAAAATTAGCCGGGCATGGTAGCACATGTCTGTAGTCCCAGCTACTCGGGAGGCTGAGGCAGGAGAATGGCGTGAACCTGGGAGGCAGAGCTTGCGGTGAGCCGAGATCGCGCCACTGCACTCCAGCCTGGGCGACAGAGCAAGACTCCGTCTCAAAAAAAAAAAAAAAAAAAAAAAAAAAGAGTAAAAAGCAGCTGGGTACAGTGGCTCATGCCTGTAATCCCTATACTTTGGGAGGCTGAGGCAGGAGGATTGCTCAAGCCCATGAGTTCAAGACCAGCCTGGACAGCATGGCAAAACCTCTTCTCTACAAAAATACAAAAATTAGCTGGGCATGGTGGCGTGTGTCTGGAGTCCCAGCTACTCAGGGGGCTGAAGTAGGAGGATCACTTGAGCCTGGGAGGTGGAGGCTGCAGTGAGCCAAGATTGTGCCACTGCCCTCCAGCCTGGGTGACAGAGTGAGACCCTGTCTCACAAAAAAAGAAAGAAGAGTGAAAAGCAATGGGGAAAATTAACTTTCATAATAATTTTATTTAACACAATATATCCATAACAGCATAATTTCAAATATAATCAGTAAACATCGTGGAGATGTTTATGTTCTTTTTCTCATACTAGTCTTTGTTTTTTGTTTTTTAAATTTTTTTATTTCAATAGGTTTTTTGGGGAACAGGTGGTGTTTGATTACATGACTAAGTTCTTTAGTGGTGACTTCTGAGATTTTGGTGCACCCATCACCTCTCATACTAGTCTTTGAAAGTCAATGTGCACTTTACTCTTGCAGCACATTGCAACTGAACCTGCCACAGTCCATGTGCTCAATGGCCATGTGTGTCAAGCGGCTGCCATATTGGACAGCACAGGTCTGGATGCTCCAGCTATGGCTGGTCCATGTTGAATGAGCCCTTTGCTTCTCCAGGCCTCTGTTTTCTCGTTTCTGCATGAGGAAGCTAGACTAGATAGGCTTGGTGGCTCCTCTTCATCCTAACATTCTTCATCTTTCAATGCTAAAAATGGAAAGCACGGGTAAACCAGGACAAGCAGGCTTCCCTGTGGGAGCTTTGTTTTCTCATCTATAAAATGGGGCAATCAAATATGACCCAGATCCACAGGCGAGGATGTGCTTTGTGGAGGAAAAGGAGGGAGGCATAGTGTTGTGAGATTATTTTCAGGACTGTGATTGACCACTCACTTAGACCCAGGTCTACCTCCTTGATTTATGTCCCTGAACCTCATCTGCCTTATCCATCCGTAAGGTGCAGATAAAAATGGCGCTTACAAGGCCCAGCATGGAGGCTCATGCCTGTAGACACAGCAACTCAGGAGGCTGAGGCAGGAGGGTCACTTGAGCCCAGGAGTTCGAGAACATAGTGAGACTCTGTCTCTACAAATATAAAAACAACTAGCTTGGTGTAGTGGCATGCACCTGTAGTCCTAGCTACTCGGGAGACTAAGGCAAGAGGATCACTTGAGGCACAGAGTTTGAGACCAGCCTGGGCAAGATATCAAGACCCTGTCTCTCTCTCTCTCTCTCTCTCTCTCTCTCTCTCTCTCTCTCATATAGTCTGTAACAATTAAATAAAACCCCTATGCAGAGGGCTCAGGCACCAATGCTTAGTGCACAGTAAGCTCTCAACCACAGGAGGCTGCTGCTGTTACCTTTCCTTCTGTTGCAGAAATGAGGTTCAGGGTGGAGAGGGACTTGGCCAAGGTCGCACAGAGAGGAGGGAGTAGCAGACGCTGGCCTATTTGGGCTTCCTCCCTCTCATTGGCAGCCATCCCCGATAGTCAGCTACTAATTTCCTCACAGCAAGGTAAATGCAATAAATACACCCGAAGCCACTGAACTACTTGAATGAGGCTTGGGTCCAAGTATTGTTTCCATGGTATGTACCCTGGCAAGCATGCATATGTGATTTGTTTAAAATCCCAGCTCCTGAGGGCGGAGGCAGGGCTCTCAGGCAATTCTATCCAGCAGCCGTCTCTCCCTAGACGGTGCCCCCCACCCAGACCGGCGTGAGATGCCTCGGTGTGATTTCAAGGGAAGGGCCCCCTTCTACATGGCGCCTGAAGTACCTTTGGCTGGACAGTGACAGAGTAGAAAGTGCACTGAATTAAAAGCCAGGAAGTCCGAATCGTTATCTATTACATAACAATAATAGGAAGCCACTTTTCTGAGTTCTCACTACTGTATGACATTGCCAAGTTCTCTGCATTTACTGTTTCATTTAACCCTCCCCGTTACTCAGAGACGAGGTGATTACAAATGACCGCATTTTGGAACTGAGGTTTAGAGAAAATAAACAACTCACCCAGAAACACCCGGATAGAGCCAGGAAGGACCTTAAAACTCTTCCCTGGGGCAGGAGGCGGCCAGCTCTCCCTACGGAGCCTCATGGAAACTGGACATTCAAAAACCGGGACAAGCGGGTGTCCTTATAGCAGCTTAATTTATTCATCTGTAAAGTTGGGGGACAGCCGAACCTGATGTTGGTCAGGACAAGGATGAAAAATAGGATAGATGAGGATGTTTTGCAGGAGGAAAAGGAGGCAGAGAAAGTGTTGTGGAATTGTTATTAAGATAATGATTGACGGCCAGGTGCAATGGCTCACGCCTGTAATCCCAGCACTTTGGGAGGCTGAGGCAGGCGGATCACTTGAGGTCAGGAGTTCGAGACCAGCCTGTCCAACATGGCAAAACCCTATCTCTACTAAAAATACAAAATTAGCCAGGTGTGGTGGCGGGAGCCGTAATCCCAGCTACTCGGGAGGCTGAGGCTAGAGAATTGTTTGATTCCAGGAGGTGGAGGTTGCAGTGAGCTGAGATCGCACCACTGCATTCCAGCCTGGGCGACAGAGTGAGACTCTGTCTAAAAAAAAAAGAAGCTAATTGACAGAGCTCAGACCCAGAGCTTGCTGTCTCCCTCCCTCTCTGTCTCTGTCTCTCAGCAGACAGAAAATATATCTGCCTCTCCCCAGCCCAGCTTCCTTCCAACTCCTTCCAAAGATCAAGTTTCCTTTCTACAGCCAAGGTGTGAGAGAGAAACAGCACACCAATTTCCCAAGCACCAGCCCAGAGCCCTCCCTGATTCTAGGATGCAGCAGAGAAAGAGAGAAGAACGTGCTGAGAGTGGCCAGGGGCTGTTGCCAATTGCTTCATTTCTGTTTTCTTTTTTCCTTAAGCAAAGTACACCAAAGGCTAATTCCCGCCTCTGTCCTTTAGTAAGGTCTGGCCCAAGCCAGAGTCTGGAGGAAGTCAGCTTGGGGGCCTTGCCTCCCCAAGAGGTCGCCTTTCAGTTGCTTCTTTCATTAAAGAATTAAGCCTTAATGCCAAACGGGATGCTCAAGAGAGCTCTGGAGGTCCCGGCTGTCTCTGCCACCAACTGAACAGTGAGCATCCTGGGTTTGGTACCTGCAGGACATGGGGCTTGGGGAGGGTTAAGGAAGCAAGGAGAGAGAAGGGCACAGCGGTCCTGGATGGGTTTCCCTGCAAACCAGAACCCAGCAGCAAGATGCCGAAAGACACTCAGCCGGTTGACACCCGGGCCACACACAGCAGAGAAATGACACAGCACGCGGGCGACGCATGAATACACAGAAACACACACACAGAGCAACGCCAGATGGAGAACGCAGCCCAGGCTGAGCCCGGGGATTCATTATTTCCTCACCCACACAGAGGGGCTGACAGAGTTACGTAATGCAGGCTGCAAAGGGGAGGCTGAACTTGCTAATTATCCCCCCCACACACCCCCCCATTGAGGGGATCCAGGAGGTGGCACCTCCCTCTGGGAGGGGTCTCTGCACCCACCTTCTGCTCTCAGAGGCAGCAGGAGCTTGTCAGCTGCCTCAGCCCTGGGGTGACCCTGGGAAGTCGCTAAAAGGGAAATGAGGAAGTGAGTGTCAGTTTGTTAGTCATGGCAGATGGGGGCTCCCTCCTGGTGCTGAAGCATGGTGAGGTTGCTGGCAGGAAGGGGCTTTGGGACAGAGATGGAAGTAGCACTTGAGTGGGGAGCAGGGAAAGAGATGGAAGGGTTCTCTGATGTCTCCTACCCATCTTGCTGGTATTGATGTTTGTAGTGTGACCAAACCTATCTTTTTGAACTTGCAACAAACTAATAATTACAAGTAGGGACGGGCGGCTACTTCCCACCCTACCCACACCCACAGATCACCTGCCCCATCCCAGATGTGCCACACTGTGCATGTACACGGCCCCGTGGGCACATGCTACAGGTGCTTGCCCCTCACCTGGGCCACAGCATCTCCAGCTGGGCCCCCATTGGCCTTTGGTACCCCAACCAGACCCCATTTCTTTGAGCCTGAGAGAGTCAGTGACTTGCAAGATTCCAGCATTTCAGGGAGAAAGTTAGGAGTTAAGAAAATAACTAGAATATAAATTTGATTTTGGCGGGGGGCAGGGGAGACAGAGTTTCACTCTGTTGCCCAGGCTGGAGCGCAATGGCGTAATCTCAGCTCACTGCAACCTCCGCCTCCTTGGTTCAAGCGATTCTTGTGCCTCAGCCTCCTGAGTAGCTGGGATTACAGGCACCCGCCACCACACCCGGCTAATTTTTGTATTTTTAGTAGAGACGAAGTTTCACCATGTTGGCCAGGCTGGTCCCAAACTCCTGACCTCAGGTGATCCGCCCGCCTTGGCCTCCCAAAGTGCTGGGATTATAGGTGTGAGGCACTGTGACCGGCCTGATTTTTTTTTTAAATAAATAGAGAAAGGGTCTTGCTATGTTGCCCAGGCTGGTCTCAAACTCCTGGGCTAATGCGATCCTCCCACCTCAGCCTCCCAAACTGCTGAGATTACAGGTGTGAGCCACCATACCTGTACTATAATATAAATTTGAAAGAGCTAGAGTATAAGTTTAAAAGCTCAGGCTCCAGGTCAAATCCTCCCCCTGCCATTATTCTCTATGTGACCTTGGACAAGTTACTGAACCTTCCCAAGCTTCCCTTTCCTCTTCTCTTGAGGGGTTATCGTGAGGATCAAAGGAGAAATAACAAATATGTGTTAAGAGCGAACGTGCTCAAAAAGTGTCTGCCGTGTTTAGTCTTTGGGATTTTTCCTTCTTCAGTCAACGAATGTTCATTGAGTGCCTACAATGTTCCTATGTTTCCCCTTCTCCATCAGAGTTTCAGCTGTCTGTGGAGCACAAGTGTCTTCCACAATTTTGTGTGGACCCATCTTCTTAGTATTTATGTTTGTAGTGTGACTAAGCCTATCCTTTTGAACATGGAACAAGCTAATAATTACAAAAATGGTTATGAAGGCCAACTGACATTCGTCATCATTGTGTACATGGAAGGCAGTGTCATTCCCGTTCCACTGGGCTTTGGGAGTGGCTGGAACAGAGAGCCCAAAAATCTGTGCCAGCTGAGCCCCCGAGCTATGGATGGAAAATGTATACAAGACACAGAGAGCAACTAGAATGCTTGACAAGTTGGACTGATGACCTCTCGTGGTGGGAAAGAGATAAGAGAGGTCTTTTGATTCTCGTCACTTGATTTCTGGGGCTGACTGTCCATGTTTGCCCAGGGAGACCCTTTTGTCCCAGAGGGCTTTGATCATGGAAGTGAAACTAGGTAATTTGCAGCTAACCTTGAAAGGTGCCCCCTCCAGGAAGAAGGATTTTGTTTCTAGGTTGGCTTGAAATTCTGGAGTGTCTTGTGTCTAGACTTTGTCAATTGGCTGCATTTTCTATCTCAGTTTTCAAGGTGGTGTTGGGCACTCTACTTCAATCTCTTTTTTTAAATTCTTTTCATCCCCTCCTGTTCTTCCTCTTCAGCTCATGATGCCTCAGATCTGATCCGCATCTAACAGGCTGGCAATGAAGATACCCAGAGAATAGTTCACATCTATCATGCGTCACTTCTAGACACAGCCATCAGACGCATCTCCTCCCCTTTCTGCCTGACCTTAGGGACACGTCCCACCGCCTCTCTTGACGTCTGCCTGGTCAACCATCACTTCCTTAGAGAATAAGGAGAGAGGCGGATGCAGGAAATCATGCCACCGACGGGCCACCAGCCATGAGTGGGTGACGCTGAGCTGACGTCAAAGACAGAGAGGGCTGAAGCCTTGTCAGCACCTGTCACCCCGGCTCCTGCTCTCCGTGTAGCCTGAAGCCTGGATCCTCCTGGTGAAATCATCTTGGCCTGATAGCATTGTGAGGTCTTCAGACAGGACCCCTCGGAAGCTAGTTACCATGGAGGATCACATGTTCGGTGTTCAGCAAATCCAGCCCAATGTCATTTCTGTTCGTCTCTTCAAGCGCAAAGTTGGGGGCCTGGGATTTCTGGTGAAGGAGCGGGTCAGTAAGCCGCCCGTGATCATCTCTGACCTGATTCGTGGGGGCGCCGCAGAGCAGAGTGGCCTCATCCAGGCCGGAGACATCATTCTTGCGGTCAACGGCCGGCCCTTGGTGGACCTGAGCTATGACAGCGCCCTGGAGGTACTCAGAGGCATTGCCTCTGAGACCCACGTGGTCCTCATTCTGAGGGGCCCTGAAGGTTTCACCACGCACCTGGAGACCACCTTTACAGGTGATGGGACCCCCAAGACCATCCGGGTGACACAGCCCCTGGGTCCCCCCACCAAAGCCGTGGATCTGTCCCACCAGCCACCGGCCGGCAAAGAACAGCCCCTGGCAGTGGATGGGGCCTCGGGTCCCGGGAATGGGCCTCAGCATGCCTACGATGATGGGCAGGAGGCTGGCTCACTCCCCCATGCCAACGGCCTGGCCCCCAGGCCCCCAGGCCAGGACCCCGCGAAGAAAGCAACCAGAGTCAGCCTCCAAGGCAGAGGGGAGAACAATGAACTGCTCAAGGAGATAGAGCCTGTGCTGAGCCTTCTCACCAGTGGGAGCAGAGGGGTCAAGGGAGGGGCACCTGCCAAGGCAGAGATGAAAGATATGGGAATCCAGGTGGACAGGTAAGCTCCACAGGGGTGTGTGTGTGTGTGTGTGTGTGTGTGTGCATGCTTGTGTGTGTGCATGTGCGTCTACTGAGACTCAGCCTCATAGCCCAGAAGCCAACCTGGGCTGTCTCAGATACCTGTTTTTGCATAACCACTTGACGGCCCCCTTGATCTTCACTTAAAATTACATTCACAAGAGGCCACAGGGCATAGCTTCTAGGATGCTTCTCTTGTCACAAAACCCAGAGCGAATTAATCATCATGGTAGCAGACAGTGTGTCTTCTCATCTTTATCCCCTATAATCCTCCAGGAAACTTACTTGCATTTTTGCAATCTATGTTTCACAAGTGAGAAGACGGAGGCTCGGAGTGGAGGCTGCCCTTCCTGAGGTTGCCTAGCAAGTGGGAGGCGTGTGTGCGTGGCACCCTGGGGTGTGTGGCTCTGCAAAAACCCTTGGAAGACAGGAGGGAAGAGCTGAGCCCTGGGCAACCCTTAGCTTAAATCAGCTTTCTCCTCATTGCAGCCAGTCCAGGATGCGTAAAATTCTGAAGGAGTAGAAGGGAATCAAAGTCTAGAACTGGCCCCGGTTCCTAAAAACCGCAGTCTTGCTGGGATTATGTGGGAGCTGGGACTAGAACTTAAAGAACTGGGTACCAGCCCTCTGTGTTTGCCAGATTAATGTTTTCAATTCTCTGCAGGTGGAAAGCTGGCAACAGAGTGGGTGATGCTAGCTCCTTCTATGGGGAGAAAATCAGCAGCTGGGCCAGGCAGTCAGAGAATAATGGGTCAGGAGATTAAACACAGAGAGAAGTTTCTCTGTCCCCCTTCCATTTGCATCTTAGGTCTGGCACTGACGTTACAGCCCCCAGTGCTGCCAGGGTGGGTCTAGGTATACCCAGAGGGAGGCTCAGTCTGAGGCCACCAAAAAATCCAGGCCAAGATTTCCCAACCCTTTCCCCAAGAACCCCAAAGTGTCCTCAGAGCACTTAGAGATCTTCAGGAACATTCCGCCCCCCACAATCTGGGGGCCTGGGTTAAGGTAGCTCCCCAGACCCCTGCATTCACTCATTTAACAAATGTTCATTGAGGACCTACTGTGTGTCAGGCACTGTCCTAAGCTCTAGGGTAGAGCAATGAATGAAATCAACAAATCCCCTGCCATTGGGGAGCTCACAGTATAGTGGGGAGGACTGGTGGTAAATAAGATAAATATATAAATATGTAATGAGGTCATGTGCTACAGGTGCATAATGATGTCTCAGTCATCAAAGGGCCGCTTATGTATCAGGGATCCCATTAGATTATAAAACTGTATTGTTACTGTACCTTTTCCATGTTTAGATATGTTTGGATACACAGATCCTTACAATTGTGTTACAGTTGCCTGCAGCATTCCGTACAGTCACATGCTGTACAGGTTTGTAGCCTGGAGGCATTAGGCTACACCGTATAGCCTAGGTGTGGAGTAGGCTCTCCCATCCAGGTTTGTGTAAGTGCACTCTATGATGTTCCCACAATCACTGAATTGCCTAATGATGCATTTCACAGAATGTGTCCCCGTCATTAAGCGATGCATGACCGTCTGTTAGGGATATATGTAAAGGAGATAAAGAAAGCAGGAAAGGGATTAGCTGGGCGTGATGGCACATGCCTGTAGTCGCAGCTACTCAGGCGGCTGAGGCAGGAGAATCACTTGGACCCGGGAGGCAGAGGTTGCAGTGAGCTGAGATTGCGCCACTACACTTCAGCCTAGGCAAAAGAGCGAGAGCAAGACTGCGTCTCAAAAAAAAAGGAACAAAAAAAAGCAGGGAAGGATGGGATCAGAAATATTGAGAACTTTTAAATAGGGAGGCTAGGGCAGGTCTCACTAGGAAGGCAACATTTAAATACCGCCAGGCAAGGTGGCTCACGCCTATAATCCCAGCACTTTGGGAGGCTGAGACGAGCAGATCACCTGAGGTCAGGAGTTCGAAACCAACCTGCCAACATGGTGAAACCCCATCTCCACTAAAAATACAAAATTAGCCAGGCATGATGGTGGGTGCCTGTAATCCCAGCTACTTGGGAGGCTAAGCCAGGAGAATAGCTTGAACCCGGGAGACAGAGGTTGCAGTGAGCCGAGATCGCACCACTGCACTCCAGCCTGGACCACAGAGTGAGACTCCATCTCATAATTAATTAATTAAATGCCTGGAGGAAGGGAGGGAGGGAGTCTGGCAGCTTTCTAGGGGGTGGGAGAGGGGATGGGCACTCCAGGTAGAGAGAAGATCCTGTGCAGAGTCCTCAGGTAGGAGTGTGCTTAACGTGTTTGAGGCACTGCTTGGCATGCACCTTCCTCCCAAACTGCCCTTTGATGGCCCCTCAGTCTGTCACAGCCCACCTCAGCCTGCCAGTGCATCAGAGTTTTCCTAACTTCTCACACCTGGACAAAAATGGGGCCAATTCCAGTGAGACCCAAGAGCCCCCCAAGGAGTAAGACAGGGGCTCCATCACAAGTCCCTGGGCAGAGGGGAAACCAGGGTCACTGGCCTCCCTTTAAGCCCCTTCCCTCCAACCTACTCCTTTTTTCCTCGGTACATTCCCTGGGGACAGCCTGGAGTCCTCCCTGCACCTTTGGTCCTCATCCCCAGGAGGAGGAAGACCAAAAGTCTTGGACCGAATACACACAGCATTGTGTGACGTCTCAGTGAGGTAGATGCATGCGTGGGGAACTCTGTGGCATTGGATGTCCATTTCCAGAGTGGGTAGCCAGGATTAGTCTTCAAGATTCTGCTGGCTGGGGGAGATTTGAAGCCTGGTTTACCCACAACTAGCACAGGAGGCCTCCCAGGCTGGAACCCGGGCCTCAGGGAGCTGCCACTGCCCATGGGTCCCTCCAGCAGCACATCCAGTGGAGGTGGCATCTTGAGGCCTTGCTGTGTCTCCCAGTAGTCCAGCTCATGCCATAGAGTTAAATCCTAAGGCAGCTGTAGGATCCAGAACGGAAGGCATTGGCCTTATTTGCCAGGAGGCTTTGGGAAGTGTCCCTCCCGAAAGGCTGCCCCCAAGCACCACCTCTGCCTCCCAATCCTCTACCACCCTCCCTGTCCCTCAGTGCTCCCTGTCCCTCAGTGCTCCCTCTCCTGAGAAGAGCAGCACCAGTGTGGAATGGGAGCTCTGTCTTACTTTATATAAGCAGAGTCCCCTTCCCATGGGCAGCTGAATCCCAGCCGTATCTAATATCCATGCACTTGATTGCAATTCTCAACTGGGCATCAGGTGGGCATGGAGGGGTGAGTATCAGAGTTCTGAGGGGCTCTATTTCAGCCACACCCCCAGAACTCCAGGAGTCTGAATCTCTGTATGCGATGTGGAGACGTCCCCCAGAGGATCCCAGTGCACCCTCTCTTCCAGAACTGGGAGCTGGGTCCTTCCCCTCCAGGGAGTTCGTTTGATCCTCTCCCCCAGCCGACAGTCTGGGACACGAGGATTGGTGCAGAACTCTAGGCTTGGGTGTGATGTGGAGGACTTCACGGGAGCCCTCGTGTCACCAAGCACCAAGGGGCTCCTCTCCAAACGCCATCTCAGGAAGCAATGTCCTGCCTTTGTTTCCCCAAGGAAGAGGGAGGGACAAGTCGGCCTGCCATGGAGTCCTGCCCCTGCAGACCTATTTTCCCAGCTCAGGAGGCTGCATCCAAGCTCTCAGCTTCCCTCATCCCTTGCGGCCCTCCCACTAGTCACCCATCTCAACTGTGACCGTGATGAGGTGGTTTGCCCGAAAGCGGCCAAAAAACCTGCTTCAGAGGAGAAACAAGGTCTAGAGAAGGTGGCTTAGAGCAAGTACAGGGCTCTGTGAAACCCACTTAGGTGAGCAGTTCTAAGGATGAGTGATATTTAATCATAGTGTGTGTCCTCCTTGCTCAATGGCTTGGACTCAAAGCACCCCCATTTCTTTTTGTTTTTGTTTTTGTTTTTTTGTTTTTTTTTTTTTTTTGAGACAGAGTCTCGCTTTGTCACCCATGCTGGAGTGCAGTGGTATGATCTCGGCTCACTGCAACCTCCGCCTCCCGGGTTCCAGCAATTCTCCTGCCTCAGCCTCCCGAGTAGCTGGGATTATAGGCATGTGCCACCACGCCTGGCTAATTTTTGTATTTTTAGTAGAGACAGCGTTTCGCCATGTTGGCCAGGCTGGTCCTGAACTCCTGACCTCAGGTGATCCGCCCGTCTCGGCCTCCCAAAGCGCTGGGATTACAGGAGTGAGCCACCATGCCCGGCCAGCACCCCCATTTCTTAACACATATTTTTAAATGTCTTTACTAACTGGATGCTAATTCATGGATAGCAGTTTAAATGTCTTTACTAACTGGATGCTAATTCATGGATCCAGTTAGAAGTGCTACTCGCACTTCATATTTTTAAAATCTAATATAATGCCATTAACTATAAAATGAAGGGGACCTCATAAAAGTAACTTATAATTTCAAAAGCCTGTAATTTAACATATCAGTGCTCAGACACGACTGCACTGGAATGATCAGATGTTTGCGCCTAAGCATAGAATCACAGCAAACACAACAGCATCAGAAGCAGAGACTGACACAGGTGTGTTGTTTTGGCTCAAATGCCATGAGCAGCGTCGCCTTGGTGATGCAATTTTCCAAAATAGTGAATGACTCCTGATAAAACGATGGGTAAATCAATTTTTCCTTAATTTACCCAGTGGATTTACTGCACGGAAAATTCAGTCTGTTTTAAAGCCGTGTTTATACAAGAGAGAGTTGGGATCTCAGCCCGGGAATATAAGCTTGCCTTTTATATGTGTGAAGTCCCAGAGATCATGTGGCATGCAAGACTCTCTTCCTTCATGTTCCTGGCGTTGCAGGAGGACCACCACCCCTAATGCCACCTCCCTACTACTACAATGCCAGGAGCACCCCCACCTCCATCCTTGTAACAACCAAAACTACCTCCACAAATTACCAAATGGCCTCCTAGGGGCTGAAATAAGGACCTCTTTAGGCATCAGTGTCCCAAGTTAGGAATTGGAATCCCAGAGCTAGAATGTTCTTCGGGGTCACTCTTGTGACGGGCAGTCCTGGCTTGATTCAAGCCGCTTAGAGCACACGGCTGCCTGGAAAATGCTCATCCTCCCGGTGACCTCTCCATCCAGGCTGCATGTCGGGGTGGGCATCAGCACTGGCATCCTGGATGCTGGGTGAAGTCACTGGCCCAAGAAAACCCACTGACTTGGGTGACAGTGAAGCCCACCAGTCCCAGAGCCCCAGATCCAGGACACACACGCCAGTCGGGGAGCCAAGCTGAGGTGGGAGCCATCACTGCTTCTCAGCAGTGCCTTGTCTCTCCTGCTCTGTTGTCCCCATTTTCTTTCTTTCTTTCCTCTTGGAAACAGGCTTAATCTCCTGCCACATCTCTTCCATTCCCCCATGGGACGTCCCTGTAGTTTCAGGATGGTGGCACTTACGTGGGAGGAGAAGTGATGTTTACTCTAAAGACAGTCTTATCCCTTCATCCCAGGAGGAAGGTGGCTCCAGCAGGCAGTGGCAGCAATACGAGGGGGTTTGGGGAAGGCAGATAGTGAATCCCAAAGTTTCAGCACCTTCTGTACTTGGGAGCAGTCACTTTATTTATTTATTTATTTATTTAGAGACAGAGTCTTGCTCTGTAGCCCAGGCTGGAGTGCAGTGGCGCCATGATGGCTCACTGCCATCTCTACCTCCTGGGCTCAAGTGATCCTCCCACCTCAGCTCCCCAAGTAACTGAGACCATGCCCAGCTAATTGTTTTATATTTTTTGTAGAAACAGGGTTTCATCATGTTGCCCAGGCTGGTCTCAAACTCCTAGCCTCAAATTATCCGCCCGCCTCAGCCTCCCAAAGTGCTGGGATTACAGGCGTGAGCCACCGTGCCTGGCTGGAGCGGTCACTTTAAAATGCTGCGTGTAAGAGAATATCCAGGTTACTCAGCTTGCTGCCCTGAAGGAGGGTTCCAAAGAGGCCAAGGTCCCCGATCCAGTGTCCATCTGGACCAGCAGGTCAGCCTCGCCCTGCTCTGATAACCCCTCCCTCTTGTAGAGCACTTGGTCACTTACAAATAGTTGTCAACCTCTTCCGAGAGTGTCTGAATTCTGCCCCGTAAGTAGGATGTGTAGTTTCAGCCTACTTTCATAGATGAGGGCGAGGCTCAGAGAGGTAAAAGACTTACCCAGGGTCACACAGCACTGGCCACAGGATGCTCTCCTGGTTCTACCTAGAAGCCTCATAGTGAGTGTCTAGAACTAAAGAGACAGGCCAGGTGTGGTGGCTCATGCCTGTACTCCCACATCTTGGAAGGCTGACGCAGGTGGATCACTTGAGGTCAGCCTGGCCAACATGGCAAAACCCCATCTCTGCTAAATATAAAAAAAAAAAAAAATTAGCCAGACGTGGTGGTGCGTGCCTGTAGTCCCAGCTACTTGGGAGGCTGAGGCAGGAGAATCGCTTGAACCTGGGAGGCAGAGATTGCAGTGAGTTGAAATCGCCTCACTGCACTCCAGCCTGCGTGACAGAGTCAAATTCTGTCTCAAAATAAAATAAAATAAAATAAAAAATTAAAGGGACACTAGGCAAGAGAATATGGCTGGAGGAATGGAAGTCAATTTCAACCCCAGAGAATCAGCTCAGTTGTCGGAGGCAGAGAAGAAAGCTCCTTCTGTGGCAAGCCTACGTTTTATAATTATGAGTCTGGTCAATCTCTATGGAGCACTAGAAGTGAGCCTGGCTCCATGCTACAGTCTCTATGTCAATTAATTGGTTTTCTCTGCACAGCACTTTGTTTTCCTGATGGCGAAACCAGGGCTCAGAGAGGTATGGTCACTTGTCCCAGATCACACAGCTAGCAAGTAGCAAAGCCAGGACTTGACCCCAAATTCGTACTCTTGGCCTCTACTGACTTTCTGGATTGCATTGTTGGCCACAGTGCACTTGGCTTCTAGCCATCACATTTTTTAAGACACTGGAATATTTTCTCAGAGTCTGAAAGGGAAACTGAGGCCTTGGGTGTCATCTACTAAAGAAGGTGCCCCTGGCCTGTTGTAGCGAATGCAGGTCACCCTGAGGGATGCCTGACATTGAGATGCCCAAGACCTAGCTTCATTCAAGCAACAGGAGGGACTCCCCCATTTATGGAAGGGCCCCTTCATTTGCTCTGTGGTCCTCATGCCCTTTCTTCTTCACTGCAACCTTGGTGGGCGGGCAGGCTTATCCCATGGCTCTTCCTCAGAATAAAAGGCTGGGTACCCACCTGACAACACGGCAGGGGCACAGATGGAGAGAGGGTGAAGGATGGGATGAAAAAGCCCATCCTTCATCCAAGGCTGGTTCCCACCCATGGTCTCACCATTTAAGCACCACATTCCATTCTTCTCTGAATCCCCATCATTTAGTTCCAAGCTTGACCCCAGGGTAGGCCTTAGAGGAGGGAGGGAGGGAGGCAAGGAAGAATGCATGAAAGAAGGAGGGAGGGAGGGAGTAAGGAGGGAAGCAAGGAAGGAGGGAAGGAGGGAAGGAGGAAGGGAGGGAAGGAGGGAAGGAAGGAAGAAAGGAAGGAGAGAGGGAAGGAAGGAGGGAAGGAAGTGGGGAGGGAAGGGAGGAAAGAGGGAAGGAGAGATGAAAGGAAAGAAGGAGGGAAGGAAGGAAGGAAGAAAGGAAGCAGGGACGGAAGGAGGGAGGGAAGCAGGGAGGGAGGAAAGGAATGAGAGAGGGTAGGAAGGAAGAAAGGAAGGAGGGAGGGAAAGAAGAAAAGAGGGAGGGAGGGGAGGAGGGACAGGGAAGGAAGGAAAGAAGGAGAGAGGGAAGGAAGGAGGAGGGGAAGGAGGGAGGGAAGAAGGAGAGAGGAAAGGAAGGAGGGAAGGGAGAAAGGAAGGGAAGAAGGATGGAGGGAAAGCAGGAGTGAGGAAAGGGAGGAGGGAAGGAAGGAGGAAGGGAAAGAAGAGAGAACGAACGAGGGAGGGGAGGAGGGACAGAAGGAAGGATGGAAGGAGGGAGGGAAGGAAGGAGGGAAGGAAGAGGAGGGACAGAGGGAGGGAAGGAAGGAGGGAAGGAAGAAAGGAAAGAGGAAGGGAAAGGAGGGAGGGAAGGAAGGAGGGAGGAAGGGAAGGAAGGAAAGAGGGAGGGAAGGAAGGAGAGAGGGAAGAAAGGAGAGAAGGAAGGAAAAAGAAGGAAGGAGGGAGGGAAGGAAGGAAAAAGAGAGGGAAGGAAGGAAAAGGGGAAGGGAGGAGAGAGGGAGGGAAGGAAGAAGAGAGAAAGGGAGGGAGGGAGGGAAGGAAGGAGGGAAGGAAGGAGAGAAGGAGGAAAGGAAGGAGAGAGGGAGGGAAGGAAGGAGAGAGGGAGGGAAGGAAGGAGAGAAGGAGGGAAGGAAGGAGAGAGGGAGGGAAGGAAGGAGAGAGGGAGGGAAGGAAGGAGGGAGGGAGGGAAGGAAGGAAGGATTCTGTTCCCCCATGGCTTTCTCTACAGCAGGGAAGAGGACTGGCTCGGTTTTTGCTTCGAGGACTCACGCTAGTTAGAATTCTCCATTAGAACTGACCTCAGCATGACCAATGGCAGTATTGATTCCAGGACTGTCTGAGTCAGAAGCACTCCTCCCAGACCACACTTGATGTATCTCAGAGCTTGGAATCCCTCTGCTGGGGCATATTTCAATTAAGGAACTAAGCCCAGTAACTTAGCCTTCAACCTGAATTTCCACCTTTTATTCTGATCTTGCCCACTTGAACGTAAGCAGCTCCCCATCCACCCTTCCTGGGGATTACTCTCGCTTTGTACCCTCTCCCCATCTGTGTCCCTGCCGTCTTGCCAGGTGGGTACCCAGCCCTTTATTCTGAGGAAGAGCCATGGGATAAGCCTGCCCGCCCACCAAAAATGATGGGTAACCAGGGGGCTTCTCACCGCCTTTCATGGAATGAATGTTCCATGAGCATCCATTCTGCCCCTGACACTGTACTCAGCCCTGGGAATTCCATGGTGAACCTCTGCCCTTGGAGAATCATATCAGAGATGAGAAATCAAAAATAAATAGGCCGGGTGTGGTGGCCCACGCCTGTAATCCCAGCACTTTGGGAGGCCGAGGCGGGTGGATCACCTGAGGTCAGGAGTTTGAGACCAGCCTGGCCAACATGGTGAAACCCCGTCTCTACTAAAAATACAAAAATCAGCCAGGTGTGGTGGCACACACCTGTAATTCCAGCTACCCAGGAGGCTGAGGCAGGAGAATCGCTTGAACTCGGGAGGCAGAGGCTGCCGTGAGCCGAGACCGTGCCACCGCACTCCAGCCTGGGCAACAGAATGAGACTCCATCTCTAAATAAATAAATAAATAGACACATGCAATCATCTTAGATAGTGGTACATGCTGTGAAGGAAATAAAACAGTGATTTGAAGAAAAGGGGCTTGGGGTTTGGTAGAGCATTAGATAGGGGGGTCAGGAAGGGGCTTTCTGAAAAGACAACATTTGTACTGAGGCCAGAAGATACCAACCATGTGACATCTAGGGAAGGGTGTTCCTAGCAGAAGACACAGCAGGAGCAAAGGCCCTGAGACAGGAACAGGGTTGGGACGTGCAAAGGACAGAAAGCTCGAGGGGCTTGAGCATAGTGAGTGGAGGGAGAGTGGTGGGCAGTGAGGCTGGACACATGGGTGGGCCCATCAACCACCCTACTGTCATCCCTGTCCCCGCCCCCATTCATTCATTGTATCAGCTTCCTATGGCTGCATAACAAATCACCCCACACTTGGTGGCTGAAAGCAATACACCTTTATTCCCTTATCATTCTGACGGTCTTAAGTCTGAAGTGGTCTCAGTGGGCTGATATCAAATCAAGGTATCAGCAGGACTGTCTTCTTTCCTGGAGGCTCTTGAAGAGAACTCATTTCCTTGCCTCTTCCAGGGTCTAAAGCTGCATTCCTTGCATCCTTTAGCTTGTGGTCCCTTCCTCCATTTTCAAAGCCAGGAGCAGAGCATCTTGCTTCCGTGGTGACATCCCTTCTGTAGTCAGAGCTCCCTCTGTAGCCCTCTTATCAAGACACATGATTAAATTGGCCCACGGAGATAACCCCAGGGAATCTGCTCATCACAAGATCTTTAACATCCCATCATATCTGCAGAGACCCTTTCTCCATCTAAGGAAACATATACAGGTTCAAGGGTTTAGGACCTGAGATCCTTGGGCTGTTATTCAGCCTACCACACTCATCTAACCAATGCCATTGAGCAATGCTGTGGCCCGGCCCTGGGCTAACCAATGGCTGTCTCTGTTGCCATCCCTATGAGGTCTCACTGGACTAAGTCCACTGACCTTGCTTCTAGCCCCTCCTTCCACTTTACCTCTCACCAGCTACGTACTTTAGGAAAGCCCTTTGACTTCTTTGGGCATCAGTTTCCCCATCTTTACAAATGAGATGTGGACCAGGTGAGCCTTAAGGTTTCTCCTAGAACTAGTGTTCAGGTTCCTTGTGAGGGCCAGTGGCTGGCACGCTCATCACAGGCCAGGCCACACCTGGATCGTAGGAACTACCCCATTCCACCTCTCTGGAACATTCCTCCAAAGAGAGGAACTCAAAACATCCTTTTAGGGCAAGGGTTGCAAACAAGGTTGAGGACCACACACAGTTTTCCCATGAGTTTTATTTGGCCTGCAGTTTTCTAGAAATGTGAATTTGCGGCAAAATCAAGTTTCCAACCTCTTAAAAAAAAATCCACAGAACTGTTAACACAGAATCTACATCTTTGTGAGGCAACCAGTGGCAGGAGCTGGGAAGGGGCCACTGCGGGGTCTCTCATCCTCCAGCATCCAAACAGCCCAGTCCACACATTGACCTCACTAGCCTGTCTTCTGCAGACATATGAGTTTGAGAATCCTGCCCAGCTTTGGTGATATTAGCAATTAAGTCACAATTGTGACAGAGCCCAAAGGCCCTCTCCTCACTTCCCAGCTGCGGCATTCATGGTAGAATTCCTCCTCTTGAAAGCATACTTTTGGCCAGGTGTGGGGGCTCACGCCTGTAATCCCAGCACTGGGAGGCCAAGGCAGGAGGATTGCTTAAGCCAAGGAGTTTAAAACCAGCCTGGGCAACAGAGCAAGACCCCATCTCTACAAAAAATTTTAAAAACTAGTCAGGGATGGTGGTGCATGCCTATAATCCCTACTACTCAGGAAACTGAGACAGAAGGATCACTTGAGCCCAGAAGTTCGAGGCTGCATTGAGCTATGATCATGCCACTGTACTTTAGAGACCTTGTCTCTAAAAATAATAATAATAATAAAGCATACTTTTCTGTTTAACAAGAACTTCCCACTCCTCCCACTCCAAGCATGATGAAATCTAGAAGAAAAGCTTTGCAGAGACCCCAGACCCAGCCTCCACAGCCTCCAAGTCTTCCTACTTTAACTCAGCTCCCAGCATTCCAGCCCAGGTGGAGGCAGAAACCAAGGCTGTTGGAGCATGCAGGGCCAGGAGAAGCAGGAGTCAGAGAGAGTGGAGTGTCTGCTGAAAAATGTGGTCAGGGCCTCCTGCCAGCACCAGCTGCTCCTCGGCGGCCTCCTTGTCTGGTTGGCCGGAACAGGCAGCAGCCCCCGCCTCCCTGTGCCCAGCACACAGGCTTGGCCCACCTGCTCCCCTCTCAGGTCCTCGGGGTCCATAAGTGGTCAGCAACGGGCCAATCGACCCACCTTCAAACTTCCTGGGGAATCAAGCCCAGGACCCCTTTTCCTTCCGTGCAAGAGGTCGGGGAACCTGGTTCTTAGGAAGCCTCAGTTGGAAGGATCTGGCAAAGATTCTCAGAAGGTTTAGAGATGCAAGAGCAACTTTTGGCTTGGGTATGATCATCCAGCTAGTGAAGTGGAAGAAAAAAGGGTTTAGTTTTGCTCTTGCCAGAAAGCATAGAAAATGCTTGCCAGGAGGGAGGCAGAGCTCCACACCTGGCCTTATAGGAGGATGGGAGTGAAGAAAGGAAAGGCTGACATCTCTAACCCAGAAGGAACCTTGCTGCCTACTGCTAGAGCCTGGGCCAGAGAGTTCCCAGGGAAATGGGTCTCCCAGTGTGTCCATGGACCACCTGGGGTGCTTCTGATGATGCAGATGCTAGGGTTCCCTCCTAGACCCACTACTCAAACTCTCTAGGAGGAGAGCTCAGAAATCTGAGGGGTGTGTGTGTGTGTGACAGGGTCTGTTTCTGTCTCCCAGGCTGGAGTGCAGTGGCACAACCTTAGCTCACTGCAGTCTCAAACTCCTGGGCTCAAGTGATTCTCCTGCCTCAGCCTCCCCAGTAGTTGGGACTATAGGCAGGTGCCACCACGCTCAGCTAATTTTTTTATTTTGTGTATAGACAGGATCTCACTTTGTTGCCCAGCCTGGTCTGGAACTCCTGGGCTCAAGCAAACTTCCCACCTCGGCCTCCTAAAGTGCTGGAATCACAGGCATGAGTCACCATGCCGGGCCAGGAATCTGAACTTTAGCAAGCCTCTCAGTTGATTTGGATGCACCCTGGAGTTTGAGAACCACCAAATGTGACCACCTGATAGCCCTGGCCACACTGGCCACCACAATGCCAAGCTCATTGGGGGATGGCTTTTCCAGAGAGAGAAGGACACCTGAGAGGGGTGGGTGAGGGCCATTTAGTGAAGGCGAGCTCCTCAATTACATCTGGGAACAAGGGACAGCTGGTAAATAAGTCCTTGCAGATCCTTGGGTGAGCATAGAGCAAGGATGGGGAGGAACTTGGAAGCATTGCGTTGAGATGCTCAGCCACATCTAAACCACTGAGAGTGCCTCTCAATGGTTAGGAGTACAATTTTGCCTCCCAGGGGGCACTTTGCAATATCTGGAAGCATTTTTTTGGTTGTGACAATTTTGGGGATAGGGGTGCTACTGGCATCTAGTGTGCAGAGGCCAGGAATGCTGCTCAAACATCCTCCAACGCACAAGACAGTCCTGGCAACAAGAAATTATCAGGCCCAAAATACCAGTAGTGGGGAAGTAGAGAAACTCTGATCTAAACTGAGATTATTCCAGGCAGCTGGGCAAGACCAAGACTCATGAGCACTGTTAAAGGGGAGTTACCATCCAGACATCTCAGAAGTCAAAAGAGGCCCTGTCCATCTCCTTCTGTGAGCTCTCAATATATTTTTGGTGAATAAATAATAAAACAGGCCAGGCGCAGTGGCTCACACCTGTAATCCCAACGCTTTGGGAGGCCGAGGCGGATAGATCACTTGAGGTCAGGAGTTGGAGACCAGCCTGGCCAACATGGTGAAACCCTGTCTCTACTAAAAATACAAAAATTAGCAAGGCTTGGTGGTGCACGTCTGTAACCTCAGCTACTCAGGAGGCTGAGGCAGGAGAATTGCTTGAACCCAGGAGGCGGAGGTCACAGTAAGCTGAGATCGTGCCACTGCACTCCAACCTGGGTGACAGAGTGAGACTCTGTCTCAATAAAATAATAATAATAAAAAAACAGAGTTACTAAATTTATATTTCACAGATGAGTATATTCAACACATCTACCACATTTGGAGAGAACATCTAACATCCAAGTTTGAGGTTCTTCTCAGATATGAGGTCTAACCAAATGCTGCCCTCCCAGAGGCCCCCCACATAAGCCCTATACACAGTGACTCTCAGCTGGGATAACAGTGAAGAGACATCTCATCTGCAAGCTCTTGTTGCCTGCTGTGTGACCTTTGACAAATTACCTAATCTCTCTGGGCATCCGTTTTCTTAGTTCTAAATGGAAATATACATCACTCATGTTTAGTTAGTGCCGATTATGTGCTAGGCATTTTACATGCATGATCTCATTAAATTCCCGTGACAGGTGGGACATGAAGTGGGCCGTCAAGGCTGAGTAGGAGTTGGCTCTCAGCAGAGGGAACATGAAAGAGCAACCTGGGGAGCTTAAGTATAAAGGTAAGGGTGGACGTGGTGTGCTCCTCGGGAAGAGGGAGGAGTCAAGAGATCAGGGCCAAGAATGATAGGAGGTAGGAGTCTGGAAGGGTAGTAGAGAATTATCGAATTCCTGGGCTCTGTGAACAAGACATGGCAGCTCAGAAAGTATCTGAGTGTAGACTTCCCCACGTGTGCCCCAGCCCCCAGCAAAGATGCCCCCTGGTTGGAGCCACGTGTGCCTTCAATTCCCAGTCTTTGGAGACATTAATAGGTTTCCAGCGGCTGCACTGTCTGACAATATAGACTTAAGCCACATGTGGCTCTTTAAATTTACATCAATCCAAGTTAAATAAAATTTAAAATTTAGTTCCTCCATGACAATAACCACATTTCAAATGCTCAATTGCCACATGTGTCTAGTGGCTATAACATGGGATTGTGCAGATATGAGACATTTCCATCATCACAGGAAGTTCTACTAGACAGAGATGACTTAGAGGAATAGTCAGTGTTCTACACAGAGCTAGAAGTTTCTTTCTCTGTTTCCTTCTGATATTCCATAAGCAGTAAGACTGATAGCAGGTGCCACACTGCCAAGTATTATAAGCTTTACCTCCCTTAATCATTGCAGATATTATTGACCCTATTTAACAGATGAGTAAACTGAGTGTGAGACATGAAGTGTCCAAAGTTGCACAGTTTATAACCAGCAAAGCCAGGACTTGAACCCAGTTCCACCCAATCCACAGCCACATCCTTAACCAGCATGCTACACTGCTCCTGCAACCCCAGCAAACAGGTGGATCCAGGTTGAACAGACTTGTGGCAATAAGCCAGATATTTCCCTCAGACCTGGTTATCACTGACAGATTGTGGGCTGAGAATCGAACTAAATCTCCTTCTGATTTTGCTTCTGGGTGAAGGGAAGCAAAATAGTTCAACCTGGATGTTTCTCATGGTCCCATATTAAAAATATCCTTCCTGGGTGGATCACTCGAGGCCAGGAGTTCAAGACCAGGCTGGTCAACATGGTGAAATCCTGTCTCTACTAAAAATAAAAAAAATTTTAAAAATTAGTTGGGTGTGGTGGTGTGTACCTATAATCCCAGCTACTAGGGAGGCTGAGGCAGGAGAATCACTTGAACCTGGGAGGTGGACGTTACAGTGAGCCAAGATCACGCCACTGCACTCCAACCTGGGAGACAGAGCAAGACTATCTAAAAAAAAATAAATAATAAAAATTTTATGTGCTCATCACACAGGACTCCAAAATTAAGTTTTTGTTGGCAAAACACTTCAACTGCATTATTTAAACAAAGTCTTAATGGATTTTTTTTAAAAAAAGAATGATGGTAAAAGAAACTCTCTCTGCAAATTCAAATTCACATAAGATGAACCATGTGATCATTTCCAAGTTGCCTAGGTAATTGTAGCTTATAATTTTTGTAAATTGGCTGCACTTAGCAGGAGATGTTGGGTTACTTGCTCTGTAGCCTCTGGCTTAGAATAAGCATCCTAACCAGTTTTTCCTACCTCTGTTTTAAAAAAGGAAGGATCTCCTGTAATCCCAGCACTTTGGGAGGCCAAGGCAGGTGGATCGCCTGAGGTCAGGAGCTCGAGACCAGCCTGGCCAACATGGTGAAACCCCATCTCTACTAAAAATACAAAAATTAGCTGGGCGTGGTGGTGTGCGCCTGTAGTCCCAGCTGTGTGGGAGGTTGAGGCAGGAGAATCACTTGAACCTGGGAGGCAGAGGTTGCAGTGAGCCAAGATCACCCCACTGCACTCCCGCCTGGGTGATAAAGCAAGACTCTGTTTCAAAAAATAAAAAAGGAAGGATCTTGGCAGCCCATCAGTCACACCTAGTTTCAAATCCCAGCTGTACTATATGCTTACGGTGGGACCTTGGGAAACTTACATAACCCCTCTGGGTTCAGTTTTGTCATGTGTAAAATGGGGGCTTTTAATGTCTGTTGAAATTAAATGAAATAACTTCTGTGCAAGTACCCAGAATATTATAGAGGCTCCAAATGCATTAACCTCCTCCCTTCTCTGCTGAATCCTCATTTATGGTCATGTGATATAGGATCAGTAGTTTCAGAGCTGAAAGGGAACTGAGTGACATTTAGAGCAGCACTCTCAACAGACCATACTTCTGTTTACGATCATGTAGGTAGCCGTTGACTTGGGAAATGCCTGTAATCAAGAGCCACTCTGGGTATGTTTTGGTGACATTTTAAAGGGTAAAACAGAATGTTCCCTCTGATGAATGCAAACCTCTCCAGGCAGAAAAGCAGAAGTGGTTTTGATGTGGGCCACAGGGACAGCATGGAACACTGCAGGCAGGGGATCTGGGTGGCTCAGAGGGAGCCGCTGGAGGGGTCACTGGGGATCGTGCTCTCAGAGCTTGGACTGTGGCTTCTGATTCATCCCAGGTGACTGTCATTGTACCAGATTGGGGGATGGGGGAGTCCCCTAAGCTAGGACCATAGAACAGAGGGCAAGACAAGGGCCAGTCTTAATGCCTGGGACCCAAACCAAGATGAGCCACAGGGCAAGCTGCATTGCCCAGTTAGGGAACAGACAGAGGCCATGGTCAGAGTCAAATTGGATAGGGGAGCCAAAAGGAGAAAGGCTGTTGGGAAGTAGGAGGGCAGTATTCAGAGAGTAGAAGGACTCAGAGAGTGAGACAGGTCTGATGAGGCCATCTGGATTTTGGTGCCAACTCCTATCTCCATCTTAGAGGGTGGCCAGCCTGTGGAACCTAGCTGAGATCACCTCATCCTGAGCCTGTTAGAGTTCAGGGACAGGAAGCCAGGAAAACTTAGTGGGTAAGAAGTCGGATTCTGGCCGGGCATGGTGGCTCATACCTGTAATCCCAGCACTTTGAGAGGCCGAGGCAAGAGGATCACTTGAGTTTGGGAGTTTGAGACCAGCTTGCACAACACAGTGAGACCCTGTCTCTACAAAAAAACTTAAAACATTGCCAGGCAGGGTGGTGCACGCCTGTAGTCCCAGCTACTGGAGGGGCAGAGGTGGGAGGATCGCTCGAGCCTAGGAGGTCAAGGCTGCAGTGAGCTATGATTGCACCACTGCACTCCAGCCTGGGTAACAGGGCGAGACTGTCTCCAAAAAAAGTCAGGCGCTAGCATCCAGAACAAGCCTGGGTTTGAATCCACCATCACTAGCGTGTGACTTAGGCTAGTGACTTAGTCACTCTGAACTATAGTTTCCTCGTGTAATGATGATTGTGAGGATGATGCTGGTGGTCGTGAAGATGCTGGTGTGGTCCTGATGCCGAGGAGGAGGAAGAAGATGGTGACAATGGTGATGCTGCTAATGAAGGTGATGGCACTGATCATGAAGATTAGGATATGATGAGGTTGAGGATGATAACGATGAGGGTGATTATGGTGATGATGATGGTGATGGTGATTATGGTGGAGGCTGATGAGGAAAGTTAGATGATGATGATTACAATAATCATGATGGTAACAATGAGAATGATGGTGGCTATGGTGATGATTGTGGTAGTGGTCGTGATAAAGATGATGGTGATGGTGGTGGTGATGATGATGATGATGATAGTGACAGCCCCTACTTTAGAATGGATGTGATGAGTGGGCTGGAATACTAGGCTTTGCCACTGTGTGACCTTGAGCAACTTAGCTTCTCTGTCTCCCTTACCCCTTCCATAAAATGGTGATTAACAATCATTCCTGGACAGGTTCAGTGGCTCACGCCTGTAATCTCAGCACTTCAGGAGGCTGGGGTGGGAGGACCACTTGAACCAAGGAGTTCGAGACCAGCCTGGGCAACACAGTGAGACCCTATCTGTACAGAAAATAAAAAAAAAAAAAATTAGGCAGACATGGTGGTACACCCTTGTAGTCCCAGCTACTCGGGAGGCTGAGGCAGGAGGATCACTTGAACCCAGAAGATCAAGGCTGCAGAGAGTTGTGATTGTGCCACTGTGTTCCAGCTGGGATGACAGGACAAGGCTGGGGAAAAAAACGAAAAACAGTCATTCCTGCCTCAAAGGGTTGTCACAAGAGTTAAATGCACTAAAACACATGGCCAGGCATGGTGGCTCACGCCTGTAATCCCAGCACTTTGGGAAGCTGAGGCAGGGGCATCGCTTGAGCCCAGGAGTTAGAGATCAGTCTGGCCAACACAGGGAGAACCCGTGTCTAATATAGATAAAATAATATTTTTTAAAAACCCACATGTAAAGTCCTTGGCACATAGTAAGCGTTTAATAAATGCTATCTCTCCTTATTAATAGTATTATTATTTTTGTCATTATGTTCCCTTTATTTTCCGAATCATTCTGTTTGTCCTGAGCTGCTATTGTTCAAAGCCGAAAGTCTTAGCCAGGGTCAGAATAACTTATTACCCAAAGCCCACAGGACCTCTCTATCCTTCCTACCTCCTACTTTTTCCACTGGTAGGTGTCATGAACAGTAAGTTGTCCAGGGGTTCATGGTACATGGAGTATTACTAGGAAACAGGCCTCCTGTGTTCCCAGATCCATGGAATGAAGAAGGGAGAGGGACAAGCAAAATCCTTCTCCTTGCCATCCTGAAATGATGTCCACAAAGTTAGGGATACATCAGCTGTCAAGGTCACCTTGGATGAGCTCCCTTTGTGATTGACACCCAGAGCTGCCTTCCCACGTGTCACTGTCCGTCTTTATGAAGCAGCAGGATGGGTACCCAAAGCTCGCTGGCTCATATGGAGTTATGTGAGTGAGCTACTGAGGTTCTGTACAGACTCAGGACTTCCAGGTCAAAGCAACCAGCAAGTCCCTCCTGATGTCCCCTTCCTCACCTGCCCCACCTTGCCTTTCAGAGATTTGGACGGCAAGTCACACAAACCTCTGCCCCTCGGCGTGGAGAACGACCGAGTCTTCAATGACCTATGGGGGAAGGGCAATGTGCCTGTCGTCCTCAACAACCCATATTCAGAGAAGGAGCAGGTAAGTGCTTGATGCCAAGCTGGTACCACTGCTTCCCACGCCTTCTCGACCCCCTCCCAGGTGGGAAGCTGAGGGGAGGGAAGCTAAATCCTAAACTGTGTCATGATGGAAATCAGCCGCCGTGGCTGGAGAGCTTGGGAGGCCGAGGTCAGGAGTGCTTATCCTCGGATGTGGATCTCGACTTTGTTTTTGTGTGGTTTGGTATTGTTTGTGAGATGCCGTTTTTCACATTTTAATTCTGTTTCTTCTGGGAAAGGCATTCACATGATTCCAAATTTAAAAGATATAAAAGATACATGGTAGCTGGTCATAGTGCCTCATGCCTGTAACCCCAGCATTTTGGGAGGCCAAGGCGGAGGATAGCTTGAGGTCCAGAGTTCAAGACCAGCCTGACCAACATGGTGAAACCCCATCTCTACAAAAAATACAAAAATTAGCCTGGCATGGTGGCGGGCGCCTGTAGTCCCAGCTACTCAGGAGGCTGAGGCAGGAGAATGGTGTGAACCTGGGAGGCGGAACTTGCAGTGAGCCGAGATTGCACCACTGCACTCCAGCCTGGGTGACAGTGCAAGACTCCATCTCGAAAAAAAAGACAACCAGCCTGGGCTACATAGCGAGACCCTATCTCTTTTAAAAAAAAAATTTTTTTTTAATTAGTGGAGCATAATGGCATATACCTGTAGTTCCTAGCTACTCAGGCGACTGAGGCAGGAGGATCACTTGAGGACAGGAGTTCAAGGCTGCAGTGAGCTGTGATATAGCACCTCTGCACTCTAGCCTGAGTGACAGAGTGAGACCCTGTCTCTAAAAAAATATTGAAATAAATAAGCAAAAAGATACATGATGAAAAGCTCTATCTGTTCCTAATCCTAGTCACATAGTTTTCCTCCCCAGAATCAAGCAATATTAATGGTTTTTGTGTGTTCTTTTAGCCGTGTTTTATGCATTGACAAACACACACATTAATTTTGAATATTTTTACACAAGTAAGAGCACATTACACATGTTGTTTTATATCTTGCTTTTTCACTTATTAACATATCTTATAGATTAGTCCCCATTAGTGGGTAAAGAGGATCTTGGTTCCTTTTTTATAGCCATATAATATTTCATTCTGTGATCATCCTGTAATTTATTGTATCAGTCCTTCATAATGAGCCACTGTCAATATTTTGCTATGACAGTGCCGTAATGAGTGACCTTGTGCCCATACCTTATTTGGCACATGGGCAGGCTTATCAATAGAATAAGTTCCTAAAGGCCAGGCATGGCGGCTCACGCCTGTAATCCAACACTTTGGAAGGCCGAGGCAGGAGGATCACTTGAGCCCAGGAATTTGAGACCAGCCTGGGCAACATGGCAAAACCCTATCTCTAAAAAAAATAACAAAAATTAGCTGGGTATGGTGGCACATGCCCGTTGTCCCAGCCACCCTGGAGACCGAGGTGGGAGAATCACCTGAGCCTGGAAGGTCAAGGCTGCAGTGAGCTGTGATTGTATTACTGCACCACTGCACTCTAGCCTGGGCAACAGAGCGAGACCCTGTCTCAAAAAAACAAAATAGAATAAATTCCTAGAAGTGGGATTGTTGGGCCAAAATTCACGTACATTTGTGATTTTTGTGGTACTTGCCATAGTGGTTGGATCAATCTTACCGGCTAACTAGGAGACTGTTTCTTCACAGCCTCGCCAACTCCATCTGTTATCCAACTTTTTAGTCTCTGCCAATCTGTTCAGATGTGTTTTGACAGCTAAGTCAATATCATTTCCAAAGAGTGGCTAGGTTTGGCTGGAGATCAGCAGCACCTTTGTCTTACCTGTCCAGTAAGCTGATGGGCCAGGCCAGGGCAACCCTAGGGAATCGTGTGAATTTCAAACCCATCCTCTGCATTGCAGTGAAGTTGGCGTGACCGGTGGGAGGTCGAAACATGGGGGTGGCCTAGGTGACTCAGCAAGTGATGACCGGCTTCATTTTCCTGATGCTTGGCCTACAGATGGCAGCTTTCACTGCCAGCGCACCTAAACAAGGCCTCAAAGTTCTCTACACAGCTTCAGCGGGGAGGATGAGACATTCTAGAGCCTTGGTGGTAACTGCTTTCCTTAGCCGCTGATGGCTGGCCAGGAAGATAAGGACATCAGGGATTCTGTGGTAGGTCAGACCCATGGTCCCACTAGCTGAATGTCCCTCTAGCAGTGATATCTGGAAATGTTTGGTGGAAAAGCACAACTGTAGACTTTTATTATGTTGTCCTCAAAAGTCAAGACCACACTGAAGCATTAGGAAACTATTCTCCATTCATGATTAAATGAACAAATATGGTTTAAAGCTCTTCTATATTTTCTTTCTTAATTCAAAACAAAGAGGTATGGCCATCATATGAGCCCTCACAAGAGAAAGAAAGACAGCAAGAGGCAGCCTCGGGCCAGATCTAGCCTGCAGACCTGATTTGTTAGGTCTACCCCGTATTGTATTAAGAGATAATTTATAGTTATGTTTTAAATGTATTGCCAATGTTTCAAATTTTTACATAAATATATCTACAGCTTCTCTTTAAAATTTACATAATCTATGGCCAGGCACGGTGGCTCACACCTGTAATCCCAGCACTTTGGGAGGCCGAGGGAGGCAAATCACGAGGTCAAGAGTTCAAGACCAGCCTGACCAACATGGTGAAACTCCGTCTCTACTAAAAATACAAAAATTAGCTGGGCATGGTGGCGGGTGCCTGTAATCCCAGCTACTCAGGAGGCTGAGGCAGGAGAATCGCTTGAACCCAGGAGGCAGAGGTTGCAGTCAGCCAAGATCATGCTACTGCACTCCAGCCTGGGCGACAGAGCAAGACTCTGTCTCAA